>NC_000021.9:5010000-5166246 GCF_000001405.40 Homo sapiens
GATCCACCCGCCTTGGCCTCCTAAAGTGCTGGGATTACAGGTGTTAGCCACCACGTCCAGCTGTTAATTTTTATTTAATAAGAATGACAGAGTGAGGGCCATCACTGTTAATGAAGCCAGTGTTGCTCACAGCCTCCCCTTGGTCACTTTTTGTGACTGAAGGGCATGTGTTCAGGCAAGATTGTTGGGTGGCTGTGTTTTGTCTTCTTCCAGCTCGGCCATGGAATAGCCTGTGGGGACCTACTCTGTGGTCCCCAGGGAGCTACTCTGTGGGGGCTGTTTCTGTTCAGCAGGGAAGGCTCTGCCCTTGCTGTTAGCTCCTGGAGGGCTGCGGACGGCACCTGCTGTGTTCACAGATGACAGTTACTTCCCTAGGTAGTCTGCATGTTGGGCCTCCCAGGACTGGTTCTCTAAGGGCAATGTGAGGACAGACAGAAAAACCAAATTCTGCCAAAGTTTTTAAATAGGTTTATTCTGAGCCAATAAGAGTGACCATGGCCTGGGAAATACAGTCTTAAGAGATCCCGAGGAAGTGCACCTGAGGCGGTCAGTTACAATTTGGTTTTATGTATTTATTTATTTTTATTTTATTTATTTATTTATTTGTTTTTGAGACGGAGGCTTGCTCTGTCGCCCAGGCTGGAGTGCAGTGGCGTGATCTCGGCTCACCGCAAGCTCCGCCTCCCGCGTTCCTGCCATTCTCCTGCCTCAGCCTCCCGAGTAGCTGGGACTACAGGCGCCCGCCACCATGCCTGGCTAATTTTTTTATATTTTTAGTAGAGACGGGGTTTCACCGTGTTAGCCAGGATGGTCTCAATCTCCTGACCTCGTGATCCGCCCGCCTCTGCCTCCCAAAGTGCTGGGATTACAGGCGTGAGCCACCACT
Organism: Homo sapiens; assembly: GCF_000001405.40. NCBI lineage: Eukaryota > Metazoa > Chordata > Mammalia > Primates > Hominidae > Homo > Homo sapiens. Next base: position 5,010,887 of record NC_000021.9, read on the forward strand.
CCCAGCACAATTGGTTTTGTACATTTCAGGGAGATGCGAACTGCAGGTGGAATCAGAAAACAGTACACGGGCCGGGCGCGGTGGCTCACGCCTGTAATCCCAGCACTTTGAGCTGAGGAGTTCAAGACCAGTTTGAGCAACTTGGTGAAACCCCATCTCTACCAAAAATACAAAAAAGTTGGCTAGTCATGGTGATGTGCACCTGGGGTTGCTCAGGGGGCTGAGGCAGGAGGATTGCTTGAGCCCAGGAGGTAGAGGTTGCAGTGAGCCGAGATCTCGCCATTGCACTACAGCCTGGGTGACAGAGTGAGACCCCATCTCAAAAAATCAATCAATCAATAAATCAATACATAGAAGATGTGCATTGGATCAGCCCCAAAAGGCGAGATATCTTGAAGCTTACAGGTTATAGGTGGGTTTAGGGATTCTTTAGTTGGCAGTTGGTTGAAAGAGTTGAGCTTTGCCTAAAAACTGGGAGTCAGTAGAAAGGAATGCTTGAGTTAAAATAAGGAGGTCTGCTGTCTGTCATGTGGTGCCATGGCAGAGTCACAATATACCAGGTCAAAAACACCCATTCCACAAGCTTTTGTGGTTTGTAAGGCGTGATTCCCCTACGCTCCTTAGAAAGGAATTTGAGCAAGAAAAAATAAAGGCAGAATTCAGTCCCCAAATGCATGGCACAGAGTCTTCACCTCAGACCCGGAGCTTTCTCCTCTGGGCTCCAGGCAGGCAGCCCCTGAGGCTGGTGGTGGCTGTGGATGGCTCTGCCCTAGTGGGCTCCACTCCTCAGCTTGCCCTGGCCTGTGGGCCCTGCGAGCTGAGCAGGGTCTGCCCTGGGGTCATCTCGTGCTGCCGCACGCGACCTTGCCCACTGCTGCTGCCTCTCAGTGCCCACTCCCCTCTGTCCTGCAGGTGGAGGAGTGGGGACCCTTCGATCTTGTGTACGGCGCCACACCTCCCCTGGGCCACACCTGTGACCGTCCTCCCAGTGAGTGATGCTTCAGTTCTGGCAGCCTGTCCCCACCACCCCTGTCTCCTCTCCTCTCTCCTCACACCTCCATGCCAGGGCAGAAACTGCAAATTGTCAGCATTTTTCAAAAACAGCTTTATCGAGGCACCACTGACATACAGTAAGTTGCACGCATTCAGTGTGTCCGACTGGATGAGTTCTGAGCTAGCTCCACACCCATGCACCCCTCATCAGAGTAAGAGAGCAACAGAGTAAGAGTCCCCATCACTGCAGGCTTCCCTGTGCCCCCAAGCCTCCCGCTGACCCCATGCAGCCCCCAGCGTGCCCACATCACTGCAGCTCACGTGTCCTCTGGAGCTTCCTCTAAAAGGCGGTATTTGTGCCGCGGCACGCGCTCTGCGTCAGCTCCTCCCTCGGGGTTGCCTGTCTGTCTCTTCCCCACTCTAGGCCTGCCTGGGGGAGGAGGGGTCCATGCACCTCTGTGGCCCCAGCACTGGGCAGGGCTTCATTGCTGCTGGAGGGACAGGGGCAGGGGGATCCCTCAGACCCAGGCCGGTGCGTCCCCTCGACCCCCTCAGCCCTTCTCTCAAGCCCCAGTTTCCTTAGGCCCCTGCCCAGATGCACCTGAACAGCGTCCCCATGACCAGCCCCCCCGGCCCCCCCTCAGCCCTGCCCCCTCACCCCACTCCAGGCTGGTACCTGTTCCAGTTCCACCGGCTCCTGCAGTACGCACGGCCCAAGCCAGGCAGCCCCAGGCCCTTCTTCTGGATGTTCGTGGACAATCTGGTGCTGAACAAGGAAGACCTGGACGTCGCATCTCGCTTCCTGGAGGTGCGTGCAGGGCTGCGTGGGCCGCCCTCTGACCCCTGCCCACGTGAGGGAGGGGCTTTTCTGGTGGAGCTCAGTCTACACCCCAGGCTCCGGGCCTGGCTCCTTGCGGCCCCTGGTTTCCAGGTGTGTACAGGGCCCAGGAGAGCTGCTGTGCAGTCCGGGCAGGGACTGCGGCCTGGGACACAAAGCCCCTTCAAGGACAGCATGGGAGGGCAGTCCCACCTCGCACCACTCCTGTGCTCACAGAACACGGCCTCGGGGGCTCACCTCCTGCCCCTGCCCCCTCAGTCTCCACCCACACACACGCACATCACACCACACACACAGGTGCACACACACTGCAGTGCACAGTCACTGTACACATGCACCACACACAGGGACACACTTGCCACACACACACAGGCACACTACGTGCACACATACTCACACCACACACATACAGCCTTTTCTTCACACGTCTGAATCCTGATTGTCAGAGCAGCCACTTTTGGACTCAGCGGATGGGTCCCCTCTGGGGCTGATGGGCCGGGTGTTCCAGACACTTCCAGGGTTGGGGAGGGACGGCCACACCTCAGCCACAGGAGACAGGCGTGAGGCTCAGGAGGGGGAATTTCCTCATGCTCTCAGGTTCCATGGAGGGGCCACAGCCAGCGGGGGCCCGACCCACCGAGTGGGCAGCACCTGTGGGCCAGAGCCTTTGCTGGGGGTCCAGGTGGCGTTGAGGTTCCTTTGGTGCTGGAATCTCGTGGAGTGGCTGGAATGCAAATCCAGCTATTCAGAAGGGGAGCAAACGCCATGAGCTGAAAATCACAAAGTCTGTGCTTTTAGAACAGGAGACTTTGTTTCTGTAAAGGGGCACAGCCTGCAAGGTCCCGTCCCCCAGGCTGGGAAGCACGGGGCCTCCACCAAGACCAGAGGAGCCAGGAGGAGGCACTTCGAAGGGGAGGGGTGGCTGGGGCAGGAGCTCCGTGCTGACCGGGTTGGCTAAACCTGTGCGGCAGGTTATGGAGGAGCGGTGAATATTCATGAAGGGGGTCCTGCTGCGTGCGTACTGAACAAAATCCGTGGAACTTACGACCTCTGTTCACTCCGGGGTGGAGTCTTATCATGTCAGTGTGTCGCAATGAGGCCCTAAACCTCAGAGGTCTTCTCAGGACACAGGCCCTCAAGCGCACAACCTCTGTAAACCGGCCGGAGCCAGTCTGTGGTCGGGGTCCCTTATCAGGAGGAGGTTCCTGAAGTCAGTCTCCTGCCCAGTCAGAGCTGTGGTCATGGCTGTGGAACGTGGTCAGTTGGCATCTGCAGGTGGATGAGCTGCAGTCATTTGAACCTTGCTCATCCTCATCGCGGGGCCAGTGCGTGTTTAGCCGCTGCAGAAAAAGCAGCAGCTGTGGCGTGAGGGCAGAGTCCGTCCTCTCAGTGTAGGGCACGCGGCTCGGCTCGACCCTTGCCTGGCGCGGCCTGAGGTCCTGTTTGTAATTTGATATCTTATTGCCACAGAGTCTGTTCTGTCAGTTTAAAATAATTCATCAGCATTTTTCTCCAAAGGTGATTCATAAGAAAAAAGGACGTAGGGAACACAGTCGGGCTAGAAAGTCCATTGACCACTCAGGGCCATTGGCGGCTGAGGCCAGTGGGCCTGTGGGGGGCGCTTACCGTCCAGGTCCCCTGACCCACGGCCGACCCTCCCGCCCCCAGATGGAGCCAGTCACCATCCCAGATGTCCACGGCGGATCCTTGCAGAATGCTGTCCGCGTGTGGAGCAACATCCCAGCCATAAGGAGGTATTTCCTGGGCAGCTGAAAGCGTTCAGGGTCAAGGGGAACATGGACCCAGAAGCGGGGTTCACTGAGGAAATGGGGTCTGTCTAGCAGAGCCAAGCCCAGAGCAGCCTCTGCGCCCCAGTGGGACTGCGGTCGGCCTTCGGGGCCACCCTGAGACCCTGAAGACACCGAAGCCTGAGGATGCCCCTTTCCCCTTGGGGAGCTTCTCCAGCACTGGCTCTCAGCTTCTCGGGGTCCAGCCCCTGGACACCCATATGCGCCATGGCGGCCTGGCCCTGAATCGGCTGCAGCCCCCAGGCTTTCATTCCGTGTGGCCTCCCCACCTCCCTTGCACACCCACAAGCTCATGCGTGCTCACACTCAGCCACACTCACATGACTCACTTGCACGCTCATCCATACGCCTGTGTGCTCATGTATGCACACACACACAGTCATTCCCACGGTCACGCTCATCCACACACCTGTGTGCTCATGCATGCACACACAGTCATCCCCACAGTCACGCTCATCCACACACCCACATGCTCCCTCAGTCACATGCTCACACAAGCACACTCACGACTACCACCTGCATCCACACGTTCACATGTGCTCACAATCACACAGGCACACACGCATCAGTCTCACCCACCCACACGCTTGCACCCCCTGCGGTGCACTCCTGGGCTGCCCTCCCCACCTTTTGGGGCCTTGAACACATGGCCTTTCCCCACGTGCCCTCTCTGCGGCTAAGCACCCCCTTCTGCTGCCCCCACAGCCTCTCCCAGCTGCCCCCGCCCCTCAACAGCCTTTCCAGGCGGCCCAGACCTCACGACCTCCAGCCAACCGCCCATCCATCCCCTCACTCCCACACTCGCCTGGCGTGCCTCGCTCATACGTGCATTCGTGTGGAACGAGCGCTTTCTGGCTCAGCTGAGTCATGATCTCCTCCTGCCTGAGAGTGAGTTCTGGAAACTTACTCCCTCTCACCTCCCCGGTTCCAGCATCTCCCACGTCACCACCGAGGCACGATCCTGTTGCCTGGCACCTGCCAAGGCATGGCACCTGCAGGTCTTGCTGGCCTGGCTTCCCCTGGATTTGAGTTTGGGTGGGGCTGAGCCGAAGCACTTTTCCAGCATGCTTTCTCTTCAGAAGCCCTCTCACCTGCATGCCAGCCTTCGCACAGCCTCCCCCTAACCCTAAGCCTGTTCCCCGCCATGTCACTTCCTGGGAGGCCATGCCAGGCTCTGTGGGGCTGGGTGAGCGGGGGTGAAGGTGGGGGCAGACCCAGCAACACCTGTGTGCATTACAGGCCATGCCTCACCTGCTGCCTGGCCCCAGAGGCTCCTTGGCCCCCGGAGGCTCTATGCGTCCACACAGCAGTGAGAACAGCGCCCCATCAGGGTTCTTAAGTGGCAGGTGCAGCCAGACCCAGGGTTGCTGCTCCACAAAAGGCACCTCCCTCTGCTCCAGTGGCCACACTTGTGGCCCCTGCAGGCTTGGGCTGTGGGCTGGCAGCTGCTTCTTCCCAGCCCCCCTTTCTGAGCGAGGCTCCACAGAGCTCCTCACAGGGTTTCGAGGGCTGGATCCACCTGAGCCGTGATCCTGGGGTCACCTGGTTCCCAGAAGGAGGCTGGCAGTTCCTTCCCACAGGTTTCCCTCCCAGGCTCCTGGGTGTCTCAACAGTGACATGAGAGACACCCACTCACTGAAAGGAGAAATCCTTTTGCAGAGGTAGCCACCATCACCCCCAGGATGGTTAAGGACAGTCCCCACTGCCCTAGGGAGGGTGCCTGAGGAGGAGGAGGAGGAGGGGGACACTGTATCTGGCACTTCACTCGCAGTCTTCACCCCAAAATAAACTGAGAAATGTTCCTGGCCTCCAGTGGGGTGGCTGGGAGCAGGAGAGGGGGTGTTGGTGCCAAGTCTGCAAAGCCCGTCTTCCTCAAGGGCTCCTCACAGCAGGCTGGCAGGGGACCTTTCCTCTCACCACCTGCCCTCCTGCACCCAGGGCTGGGGCTCCCGGCACAGGCAGCCCCAGGAACCCAGGGGACGGCCTTTGTGATAGAATTCCCTGGGAATGCTCGCTGACTCTGCGAGGGTTTGGCCAACTTTTGCCCAGAGTCCTGTCCTTTCCTCTGCGGGGGTGCTGCCCAGGGATGGTGACATCCTCTAGCGATGGCCCTGGAGCTCGCTGTTCACACGGAGTGACCCCCAGCCTGCTTCCCAGGGGACCAGCCCCCGGCCGGGGGAGGCGGGAGGCAAGGGAGTCATCTGGTCCCCTGTTGCTCACTCCACCTCCATGAGAAAAACTCCCAGAATCAGGCGGGGGTTCCGGGGGGGGGGTCTTAGGCACCTGGGACAACTGAGAGGCAGGCTGTTCCCCTCGCCCCCTCGCAGCGATTCCTTCCCAGCCCCATCTCCGGGGCCACCCAGTGGGCGCTGCGCTTGCTCACAACCTTCCCTCCCCTCCTCTCAGCAGCAGGCACTGGGCTCTGGTTTCGGAAGAAGAATTGTCCCTGCTGGCCCAGAACAAGCAGAGCTCGAAGCTCGCGGCCAAGTGGCCCACCAAGCTGGTGAAGAACTGCTTTCTCCCCCTAAGAGAATATTTCAAGTATTTTTCAACAGAACTCACTTCCTCTTTATAAATGAGTCACTATACTGTGAAGAAAAAGACTTTTCCTAGAACAAAGGCAACTTTCCTCACGTTGTCTCTTTCCTCTTCGGATTCTTGTTTTTTTGCGTCTCCGTCGTCACTGCAGACCCACGTTCCGTTGGGTTCTGGAGACTCAGGGTCTCTCCCCCATCACGCTGGCTCATGGGACGGGGCGAGGCCCACGCCGCTGCACACAGGACCACACGTGGTGGTGCGCGATGTACTTCCTGAAAGCATTTCTGTGTTCTAGTTGAGAAGTTCGAGTATATTTATTATAAGATAGTTATTGGTCACGTCTGGTGTTTTATGTGTAGGCACAGCCATCTGTCACCCTGCAGGGCAGGGGGTGGAGGCCAGAAGTGAGCAGGAGGCGTCTTCGGAGCGCCTGCACCGTGTCCCGCATGATGCACTTTCTGCCGGGGCCTTCCCCTTGAGACCGCTGTTTGCGTTCATAGAGAAACCACGCACCCTGATTGTAGCTGCACCAAACAGCCTGGACCTTTGCAAAAGTACAGGACCTCAGCCTTGGCAGACAAAGGAGGGACCTGCTGAACAGACGGTGCGGAGGCCAAGGCCAGATCCACACACAAAAGTACAGGACCTCAGCCTTGGCAGGCAAAGGAGGGACTTGCTGAACAGACGGTGCGGAGGCCAAGGCCAGATCCACGCACAAAGGATGTCACTTGTGGGTCCTACCCCAGGTGGTATTGCTTGCAAAAAGCAGGGCTCCTCCTGGCCCTCTGCAGTCTGAGTCTCAGTGAGGATAAACCCAGCAGAAAGCTCTGCCTCAGGCTGTGCTCGAATCACAGGAAATGAATCTTACAGGGGAACTTTGGGGTCTGCACTGGGACTATTAGTGGTACGTAAAATGCTTTGTGGAAGAAAGGTTAAAATTGGACCCTTTGAAGGTTAAAAAGGTGTATCTGGAAGTAGAATAGAAGCCTTCACTTGAGTGAACATGACTGAACGCCTCTCCCATCTTGGGACAGTCCTGGATGCTTACGACACACATCTCACGTCCAGGGATGAATTTAGCAAGCTCTGTAATGACCCCGGGGTTCCTGAAGCCACAGAGGGAGCACAGGTGAGGGCATCCAAGTGCAAATGAGCCCTCTGGGGAGGCCTGCTTGAGCTGACACATAAATGGGGTTGAAGCCATTGTGAGCCCATGGGCACGGGCCAGGCAGGGTGGTGAGAGCTCCAGACAGGGCGGGCTGGGCTCAGGCTGTGTCCACCCAGGGAACCAGTGTCATGGGCCCAACATAACTCGTGGTCAGTTTCTGTGAGGGCTGCTTCAAAGCAGGGGCCCAAGGCTCTGTTAGGGGCTTTCTGCCACCCAAAATGCACTTTCCTTCTTTTGTTCTCTCCCCAACACTCAGAACTGTCCACACCACCTTGAGATTCTCTATGTATTTTATTTTAAATTTTTATTTTTTGAGACAGGGTCTAGCTAGTCCCCCAGGCTGGAGTGCAGTGGCACAACCATAGCTCACTGCAGCCTCCGTCTCCTGGGCTCAAGAGATCCTCCAGCCTCAGCCTCTGGAGTAGCTGGGACTACAGGTGCATGCTACCATGCGCTGCTAATTTTTAAAAATTATTTGTAGAGATGGGGTCTTGCTCTGTTGCCCAGGCTGGTCTCAAACTCCTGGGCTCAAGTGATCCTCCCACCTTGGCCTCCCTAAGTGTTGGAATTACAGGTGTGAGCCACTGTGCCCGACCTGCCAAGTATTTGAATTTTATACACAGGACCTGTATCATGATCCCATGCTCAGCTGAACCACCCTCCAAAGGATGCCCATGTCCCCATTCCCGGATCCTGTGAATGTTACCTCATGTGGCAAAGGAAGGACTTTGCTGACGGGATTAAATTGAGGTGGAAGGCCTCCCTGGATCATCCAGGTGGGTTCTACGTGTCATCCCAAAGGTCCTCATAAGAGAGGGGCAAAGTGAGGCTTGACCACACAGAGAAGCCACATGGCCACTGAGGCGGCTGCTGGAGCTAAGCACAGGGATGCCTGGGCCACCCAGAGCTGGGAGAGGCAGGTAGGATACTCCCCTAGCGCCTCCACCAGGCAGGCTTCCGCTCTCCAGGGCTGAGAGAGAATAGACTGCTGTTGTTTTGAGCCAGCAAGCGTGAGGTCGTTAGTTCCAGCGCCCACAGGAAACGAACATACAGTCATGCACCACATAACCTTCGGTCAACAAGCAATGCCACAGTGCTCCCATATCACAGCGCGGTATTTTTACTGCACCTGTTCTATGTTTAGATGGCTTTAGATACACAAATACCAGTGAGTCACAGCTGCCTACGCTATTCAGCACAGTCACCTGCCGCGTAGGCTCGTGGCCCTGGAGCAGCAGGCTGTGACACACAGCCTCGGCGTGTAGCAGGCTGTGCCACCAGGGCCAGTGTGTGCACTCTGTGTTCACACAAGGACAAAATCACCTAAGGACGCATTTCTCAGAAGGAATGTATCCTTTTCGTTAAACAATGTATGACTGTTCCCCGAAGAGAAAAGATCTTCCTTGGACCAGAAGTTGAGCTCTCAGCATCAGCGGACGCCCATGCTGTCAAACGCAGGTTGCTGTGCCAGACCCCAAAAGGACCCGGGCCTGGAGGTGCATCAAGGTGGAGATCAGAAGACCCCCACGCCCTCGAAACGGCAGAGCAGGGCGGCCTGGGGCTAGGGGCATCAGGCAGCTGCTTCCTGCTTAAGCACTACGACTCGCACCCAGAGCCTCGAACTCCAGGCTGCACAAATACGATTCCTGCTTGGTTCCCAGTTGGCCCTGGACGCTGCCAAGGGGCCCTCTCTCCACACCCCTAGAACAAAAGCCTATCCTGCCGGCCCAAGAAACAGTCACGGTTGAGGGGGAAAACGAAAACCTTCCTTTGACTACAGGAAACTTCCCAAAGGTTTCCCTGTTTCTTCATCTAAACCCATCTAAGTGTTGTGACACATGTGCCGGTGTGCTGTGTGCGTTCACTTACAACAGCCCCATTCATGTATATGTCACACGTCAGGGGATGCAGGCACCAAGGGGCTAAGGAACTTTCTGGGGTCACACAGCTCCGGAGTTGGGATCTGAACCAGCCACCGCTTACCGTGGTCTCCGAGGTTCCTGGGCTGGTCCTGGCACCCTCCCCCGCGGCCGCCTCGGCCTGCCTCAGTGTCCCCTTCTGGCCCAGCTGCCTTCCTGCCCCTGCCTGGCTGTGGCCTCCACGCGGCGTCCCCTCTCTCGGGGGGGCGGGGGGGGGGCTGCCCGCAGCACTTGGCTTGCTGGGGTCTCCGGCGTCTGCCCGGGAAGCAGAGCCTGGACCTGCCCCCTCGGCCACAGCACGGCGGGCCCTGCGGTGTCGGCCCCTCTCCCACCGCCCCCGGGCGGCACTGGGGGGCTGCGGGGTCCGGACGCACCGACAGGGCACCTTCCCTTCGCCGCCGCGGATGACCGGCCGCGCTCTTGGGAGGCCTTAATTTGGGAGGCTCTGCTCCCCCAGGACCCATTCCCCATCCTCCCAAAGCCCCCACGCGGTATCCGGGGGCCGTCCCCCTCTCCGCAGTCCCGCGGGTGGAGGGGATTCAGGTGCGCCCGGCCCTGGGGGTGGAGCGCTCGGCCCGGCGTCAGCTCATCGGCGCGGCGCAGCCCCGGACCTCAGCCGCAGGCCCAGAGGCGCGCGGTTCCCGGCCGGTCAATCAGGGAGGGCCTCCGGGAGGAGGTGGCGCTGCCCGCAGCCCGCCCGGCTCACCTGCGCCCTCCTCACCTGCGCCCTCCTCACCTGCGGGGCCATGCGGTCCCTTACCAGCAGCCGCCCGCCCCGGGGCGAGGAACCTCAGCCCCCAACATCGCCACCCCTCCAGCCTCGCCGGTCCTAGCCGGCGTCCCTGGGCGTGTCCCGGGAAGCGCACGTCCACGCTGGCGCTGGACCGGGTTTTCTGACTCCAGGGACGGGACTCGTCCTAAAGAGTCCGGCTCAGATGCGGTTACGCGCCTCACCTCACCCGGGTGCGGACCGCCAGTGCCTCCGCCCTGCACTCCGCGGGCCCTGCCCAGCTCTTCCCGCCGGAGGGCAGGTGGCCCCCGCCCCGCCCCTGCCAGGCGCGCGATTTTAAATCCCCCCAACCCCCGTCTCTCAGCGTGGCCTGGGAGGGGGAAGCCGCCCGGCTTCAGGGCTTCCTGCGCCTTCGCCGCCGCCCTCCCTGCCCTTCCCCGCCGCCGTCCCCCCTATCCCCCCAGCCCGTCTCTTCCGCCTTCTTATTTTGTGCCTGGGCTCTCTGCTCCGCAAAAATGTTGACTTCCCACGGGCAGAGGTTTCAGAATTTTTTTAAAGCTTTTGTCCACGGCGTTCTCTACATCTTGGTTGAAGGAATGGCAGCCTGCGGGGTGCCGTCTGGGGCCCCCGTCTCCCTGCGCTTCTCGCCTCCTCCATGCGCAGGAGGCGGTGGGGATCCGAGCCTCAGCCCAGAGGCGGGGGCTCCGGGAGGAGGGTGCCCCGCTGCCCTGTCTAGCAGCCTCACCCAGGCCCTTCCGGAGGTGCCTCTGCAGAAAGGGAGTCACGTCCCCCCTGGGCCTCACCTGGCTTGCAGGGATCAGGGAGGGAGGGCGGGGTGGGCTGGGTGCGGTGGGGAAGGAGCAGGGACTCTGGGTCCCACCCTCGGTTGCGTGGTGCAGCCTTTCCCAAACCAGCTGCCCCAGACTCCAGGCCAGACGCCACTGCCAAGGCTGACGAGCCCAGAGCCGCAAGCCTGCCTCGGTTTCTCGGCGGGGGATCCTCAGAGCCAGTGTTAAGCAAAGAGGCTGCGCCAGCGCCCTTCACACCCCTAGAAGGCTAGGGGAGCAAGGCTAGGTGGGGGCGGGCTGGGGCTGGCCCAGAGGGTAGAGCCCGCCCACTTTCCCTCCCTCCTTCCATTCATGCATGCGTTCATTCAGTCATTCATTCCTCAGCAGTCGCTGAGCTCACTCGCCTTAAGTCCTGGAGATCATCGGAGCGCAGCCGGCCAGGGGCCTGGCGCTCTCCCAGCCTTGGGGCCTGGGTCCCCGGACTCCTGCTCGGGGAGGGCCGCAGGACCGGCGCATTGTGCGCGGCGCGGGGAACGGCCCTTGCCTCCCACGGTGCCCTCCCTCGCTGCGCCGGCACCCGCAGCACCCCTGGCCACCTTCCTGCCGGGTACCCCCCACCCCTGCGCTTCCCAGGGCACCTACGGCGCCCAGGTCCGCGTCCAGGCGGACAGGCCGACCTGCCTCTGTCCCGCCTCCGGCCGACGGGCACACGCCTGGGCAGAGCCGAACTTTCCGGAGCCGCCGCGCAGCGCCCCGCCTCCTGTCCCGGGGCGGTCTCGGTCGCCAGAGGAGCCAGGCCGGGGGCGGGGCGGGGACGGGGCGGGGACACGGCTGCCTCCAGCACACCGCGCGCTGGGCGCTCAGAGCCTCGGGCGCGGCGGGAGCGCAGTTAGAGCCGATCTCCCGCGCCCCGAGGTTGCTCCTCTCCGAGGTCTCCCGCGGCCCAAGTTCTCCGCGCCCCGAGGTCTCCGCGCCCCGAGGTCTCCGCGGCCCGAGGTCTCCGCCCGCACCATGCGGCTGGGCAGGTGAGCCGGGGAAGGAGCGGAGGCGCCGCGGTCAGGGGCGGGGTGGCTCGGCCCGCGCGTCCCCAGCTCGGCTCGGACGCGGGGCCTGCGGGGCTCGCCTGGAGGTGCCGGGCTGGCAGTGCGGGTCCGAGGAGCGGGCGGCGGAGGCGCCGGGGCGGCCGGCGGGGCGTGGACGGCAGTGGGCGGCGGGGCCTGGCACCGGGACCCATGGCAGGACGCACAGCCGTGCGGGGGCGGGCTCGGGGGCGGGGTCCCTGCCAGGGAAGGAGGACCGCGAACGCTGGAAGGAGGGAGGGAAGGCGGGCGCACCCTGCACGCCGGGGCACGGGCGCTGCCCCTTCCACTCCCTGGCACTGCTGATTTCCTAGAAGAAGGGAGAAGGAGGGAGGTGACCGGCCGAGCGCTCTCCAAGGCCAGCTGGTGCCCACGGTCTGCGGACACGCCCTCCCCCACACACGTGGGATTCCCCGCAGCCCGGCAGCCGATCCACACTGGGGAAGGCGGGGCTGCCTGAACCAGGAGTGACAGCTTCCTCCTGGATTTTTGCGAAAATATCCAAAATATACTCTTCGCAACCCACGTTGTAGGGTCCGCAGCCTGTGCTCCCCTGGGTGAACCTGTGAGGCCCCTGACCCCAGGGATGCCTCCCGCACAGCTCAGAGCTGGGCCACACCGGAGTCACACTCCCCAGGTCCCCTCCCCATTAGAAGTGTATGCAGTTATGATCCTGCCCTAGAGAGAAAGAATTTAAAGGTCCCGGAATGTCATAGCCCTCCCAAATGTCTTAGCCCTCCGCCACCCACACCTTCAGGTAGGCGGCCCTGTCCATGCTGGGTCTTGAGGCAAGCTCGGGGTGGGGGTAGGTTAGATGCAGGGGTGCTGAGGGTCCAAGGAAAGGACACAGAGGCCGCTGCTTAGGCAGCACCCAGGGAGGGGACAAGCCAGAAACAGCCTGGAGCAGGCACCCCCCACCCTGGCCCAGGAAGCCCCCAGATGTCCTGAGGAGGCCTCCATAGACAGGAGGGGCCTTGTGGGCTGGTGATGAATATGGGCACTGTGGGAGACAAATGGGGGCACAGAGGAGTTCTCACAGCTGTCGTTTAGATGGTGGCTCTGGGGAAATGCTTGAAGGGGCTAAGGGTGGAGGCAGGGGGCCTGCTGGAGGCCATCACAGCCATCTTGCCAGCCAGAATGGTGGCCCCAACAGGGGGAGTGGGAGAGAGAGGAAGGGCCGCCTGCAGACTTCAAGAGCCCCTGGTGGCCAGGGGCCGCCTTGGTGCATGTGTGCTCACTTGGCACAGACACACCTCCATGCAGACTCAGATGACAGCCATCGTGGGTGGGGCAGGGGTTTCTGTGGCTCCAGGGCTCAGGGACAGCCCACTGGGAGGTTCCCACAAGACCAACCTTTGACTTACAAAGCCCCCAAGCTTTCCCAGGCAGAGGCCACAGAGAAGAGGGATGAGCGTCTCCCAGACCTTGGAGGTGCAGGGACATCAGAGAAGGAGATGTCCCTGCTCCTGGGGCTCTTGCTTCATGGGGAGCTGGCCCCAGAAACTGATGGTTTGGGGGGCTGGGGTAAGCACTGCTACCAAAGTGGTCCCGGCCACTAAGGGCCCCCACGTGGGGAAGGCATCCTGGGGGCTGGCGGGAGGAGGTGGCGAGCCTGTGGCGTGCAGGGTGCAAAGGCTCCCAGACCCAAGATGGCAGGGGCATTGGAGTCACGAGGGGAATTTGCTGCCCGAGGCAGGGGCACCAGCTGCAGCAGGATCTGAAACAGGAGGAGCTCAGGTTTGGTTTCAAAATGATCCGCGTTCCGCACAGGGCTGTCCCGTCACTCACCTGACCCTGTCACGGGCACGCCTGATGTTCTCCGTCTCCCCAGCATTTTAAGTGACACTCCTACTATATGTGCCCTGAAAGCTTTTTTTTTTTTTTTTTTTTCTGATTTCCTACAACTTCTTGGCATCTGTCCCCAGGAAGGCTAGACCAGCCTCACTGGCGTCCCTCGCTCCCCTTCATCCTCACGCCAGCATCACTGTGTTTCTGGGGATTTGTTACCGCGAGAGCTAGAGAGTGGTGAGAGGCTGCCAGCCCCTCGGACTTGCTGTGCTGGGCAGGAGGGTGGTGGTCCTGGCCCCGGACCCCGAATTCCCATGGAGAACAGAGGCAGGCAGGCTCCTGGCTCTGCCTTCACATTTCTGTGATGGGCTTAACTACCTCCTGCTCATGGGAACCAGCCTGTTCCTGTTTGGAAGATACAGGTAACTCCCTGGTGGCCCCGCCTCACCTGCCTTTCTGGTTGTTTTTTCCAGTCCTGGACTGCTCTTCCTGCTCTTCAGCAGCCTTCGAGCTGGTAAGTTCAGGGGGTGCTTTGCCATGGGGCGCCCAGCTCAGAGATGGGCTCTCCGGCTGTGTGGACTGCTGGCCGCAGGGCACTGGGAGCAGCCTCACCAGGCTCCTTCTTGCTTCTCAAGTGGTCCTTTGGAGACAGTTGGACCCTAAACCTAGGTTGCTGCACAGGATAGAAGCGTTTCCTTAAAGGGAAACACTTCTGCAAACTCCGGAGTTCTTGTTTGACTCCGTCTTTGTTGCGGGCAGAATGCAGTTCCTCTGAGCCAGGGCTTCCTGGGTCCCCTGGTCTCCCTGTCCCAGGCAGCAGCCCTGCTGAGCCCTAAGAGCCACCAGCCTCTGGAAGAGCCAGGAATAAGGACGAAGCACCGCAGCACAAACCTGAAACCTTGCCAAGCCTTCCAGCCCAGAGGGCTTTGGGGGCAGGGGACACACACAGATTTTCCTGCAGGTGCCAGGTGCAGTGGCTCACTCCTGTAATCCCAGGACTTTGGGAGGCCAAGGCGGGTGGATCACCTGAGGTCAGGAGTTCGAGACCAGGCTGGCCAACATAGTGAAGCCCGATCTCTACTAAAAATACAAAAAATTAGCTGGGCATGGTGGCGGGCACCTGTAATCCCAGCTACTTGGGAGGGTGAGGCAGGAGAATGGCGTGAACCCCAGAGTCGGGGGTTGCAGTGAGCTGAGATCACGCCATTGCACCCCAGCCTGGGTGACGGAGCAAGACTCCATCTCAAAAAAAAAGATTTTCCCACAGGCATTTACGTAGCTGCACAAACAGTAAAGCTACCCTGTGTCTGCCACATTTGTGACAGCTTTCCTACTGCAAGTGAGCAGCAATATAATGTAATTGCTGAGAAATTCTTTTCCCTTAAATGCCTTTCCCTTAAAGAACTTTTTATTGTGCATTAATTATAGACTCCCGAGAAGTAGTAAAAGTAGTGCTGAGTAACAAAAATAACACTGAGCGGCCAGGCCCCATCCAGCCGCTCCTCCCCATGGCAGCCCCTTACATAACAGGAGTGTGTCATCGAAGCCAAAGACTGACATGGACCTCACCATGAAATGTCTGCGTTTTTCAAGTTTGACTGCATTCCTACATGTGCCTTGTTAATAAATTCTGAGCCACCGTTGGTGTTTGAGGCTTGAAACCCAAAGTCTGCCCCATAGAGTAGCTTCATGGCCTGGGCATCAGCCTCCGAAAACAGATTTTGCACCTTTTGGGCCATTGCAGATACTCAGGAGAAGGAAGTCAGAGCGATGGTAGGCAGCGACGTGGAGCTCAGCTGCGCTTGCCCTGAAGGAAGCCGTTTTGATTTAAATGATGTTTACGTATATTGGCAAACCAGTGAGTCGAAAACCGTGGTGACCTACCACATCCCACAGAACAGCTCCTTGGAAAACGTGGACAGCCGCTACCGGAACCGAGCCCTGATGTCACCGGCCGGCATGCTGCGGGGCGACTTCTCCCTGCGCTTGTTCAACGTCACCCCCCAGGACGAGCAGAAGTTTCACTGCCTGGTGTTGAGCCAATCCCTGGGATTCCAGGAGGTTTTGAGCGTTGAGGTTACACTGCATGTGGCAGGTAGGACCATCGAGGCGGGGAGAGCTAGGTCCATCCCAGCCTCACATCGTGGACAAGTGTTCATGAAACCCCCTCCCTGGCTCATTCACTGTTTCTTCCAGTGAAGAAAATTCTCATCTGTGTTATCAGGCTTCTGTCTAACTTCGAGGGAAACTAAACAGCTGAAAAATCCTTAGTGCATGACCTGCGGCTGCTTGGTTTCCCGGAAGAGCTCCTACCCTTGCTGTCTTTGCCTCTTGAGTTAGTTAGCTTTTGTTTTTGTTTTTGTTTTTTGAGACGGAGTCTCGCTCTGTCACCCAGGCTGCAGTGCAGTGGCACAATCTTGGCTCACCGCAACCCCCGCCTCCTGGGTTCAAGCAATTCTCCACAGCCTCCCGAGTAGCTGGGACTACAGGCGCGTGCCACCACACCCAGCTAATTTTTGTATTTTTAGTAGAGACAGGGTTTCACCATGTTGGCCAGGCTGGTCTCAAATTCCTGGCCTCGTGATCCGCCCGCCTCAGCCTCCCAAAGTGCTGGGATTACAGGTGTGAGCCACCGCGCCTGGCCAATTAGTTTGTTTTTTGAGACAGGGTCTCACTGTTGCCCAGGCTGGAGTGCAGTAGCGTGATCACGCTGCAGCCTTGACCTCCTGAGCTCAAGCAATTCTCCTGCTTCAGCCTCCTGAGTATCTGGGACTACAGGCACATGCCACCTCGCCTGGCTAATTTTGATTATTTGTAGAAATGGGGTCTCACTATGTTGCCCAGGCTGGTCTCAAACTCCTGGACACAAGCGATCCTCCTGCCTCACCCTCCCAAAGTGCTGTGATTACAGGCGTGAGCCACCACATCCAAACTAGAGTTTTAAAAGTGAAATTTGAAGGGAACTCTATAAAGCACTAAATGAGAACAAAATTTAAGAGAAAAATAAGAGGCAACCAAGGAGCTCTGGGCAGTTCATTGGGGAGAACAGCTGTGTCCATTTCAGATGGACTGTGAGCCCCTGTGTCAGCAGTGAGAATGACCAGATCCAAATGAGGGGGTCCCGGCACAGCCGACGGCTGTGGAGTGGGGGGTCTGTGGGTGCCAGTCACTGCCCGACAGGCTCAGCGGTCCCTGGCTACTGGGACTGGCTTGGGGGATGACTCTTGGGCAGGACAGGGCGGAGCCTGCTGCTCGGACCACAGCCCTGGTCCTGGCCTGTCACCCATGTCGGGGCACAATGGGCCGCCTCCCCTCTGACCCAGCCTTGGCACCGTGTACCCTCTGTTTCTTGACCAGCAGGGTCTGGCATCTCTCACAATCTGTTTCCCTCCCCTGCAGCAAACTTCAGCGTGCCCGTCGTCAGCGCCCCCCACAGCCCCTCCCAGGATGAGCTCACCTTCACGTGTACATCCATAAACGGCTACCCCAGGCCCAACGTGTACTGGATCAATAAGACGGACAACAGCCTGCTGGACCAGGCTCTGCAGAATGACACCGTCTTCTTGAACATGCGGGGCTTGTATGACGTGGTCAGCGTGCTGAGGATCGCACGGACCCCCAGCGTGAACATTGGCTGCTGCATAGAGAACGTGCTTCTGCAGCAGAACCTGACTGTCGGCAGCCAGACAGGTAAGGTCCCGGCGCCTGCGTGCTGAGCTGTGCCCGACAGTGGGGCCAGGGCTGGCTTGGGAGAGCCTCTGAGGTAGGAGACAAAAAGTCCCTTCGACGCGGCTCAGCACCCGAAAGGTGGTTGGAAGGGAGGGGAGGTGAGAGGCACATGCCGCACAGTGAGAACCACCGCGGTCTCTGGGAACAGGAATGGGTGCCGTGCCCAGTGCATATTGCTCCATTTTCTTCACCTGGAGTCGGTTTTCTTAAACCTACTTTACAGATGAGGGCTGAACTCTGAGGCTGGGTAACACTTCAGAAGCCGCAGCACTAGGCAGCAGCAGCCCAGAACAGAAGCCCACAGCTGTGCAGCCCCCACCCAAGCTCCCTGCCTCTTGGGCGTGTGTCCCCTGAGAAGACTGAAGCCCCCAGACACGGGAATCCCACTGCGCACGGCTGCTGGCCCAGCCCCTCCCTGTGGAAGGGGTGCCCTGTGGAAGGGGTTCCTCTACGGGGACTCCTTTGTAGAGGACACAGGCCCTCCCCATTTGTGTCCCCATCTCCTGTGTCAGGATGAGAGGCAGAAGATGGAGGCAGGAGATGATCGAGGAGGGGTCCTGGGGCCCTGCTGGCTGCAGGAAAGGGGCTGCCAGCAGGACTCACCGTGTGGCCCTGGGCAAAGCAAGAATGCAGGGCTCCTTGTTTCGGGAGCATTAAGAATTCCAGACAGTGACCACAAGCATTGCACCTCCTGCCGGCCTTTCTGAGCTCAACCCCAGAAGCCTGCACAGGTCATACCCTCGAAGTCCACCCTGGCCGCCAGGATCCCCGGCAGAGCCGGACCTTCTCCTTCTTGAAATCAGGGCTCAGCCCTTCTGACTCAACATTCAGAGTGTCTGAGCTGCATGCAGCGGGATGAGGGGCTGCTCCCAAAGCAGCCTCTGATAACTGCCTTCCAGCCAGCATACTCCCCGCAGAGCAGCCCAGGTGGCAGCAGAAGCTTCTCCCAGGGCTGTCGTCTCAACCCCGGCCACACAGTGGGGTCATCTGGGCAGCCTATGAAAGCCCCCATGCCCAGACCCATTGCACCTGAAGCTCTGGGCTGGCACCTGGCATCGGGACAGTGTCTAAAAGCTTCAGAGGTTCAAGGTTGAGCACCGTCCAGGTGGTTTCTCCAAGTGTGTTTGGAGACGCGCCGGGCATTCAGAACAAGCTCCCAGGGGGATGCCGCTGCTTGTTTGCCGGTGAGGACGGCTCTCTGAAGGGCACTGCACACAGAGACCAGAGGCATTGTTAGCTTTGTGCATCGTGGCGGAAAAGCAGAAGGGCGCAGCTGCCATGGGGAACGTTGTGGCAGTTCCTCGAAAAGCTCAGCGTGGAAGCACTGCAGGACCCAGCAGTTCTCTCCTAGCGATATAGGCCAGAGGATTCAGAACAGGGACTCAAACAAATGCCTGTCCGTGAATGTTCATGGCAGCCAGAAGGTAGGAACCACCCGAGTGTTCCTCGTGGGTGGACGGATGCACCAAACGTGATCCATGCGTGCAGGGGAGAATTAGCCTGAAAAAGGAAGGAGGCCGCTGTCCTGACGCACGCTGCGGCGTGGAGAACCTCAAGGCCATTATGCGAGTGACAGAGCCAGACACCTGAGGACAAGCCTGTGGGACTCTGTTTATGCAAAGTGTCCAGAATAGGGTGAGCCACTGAGACACAAAGCAACTGGAGGCTTCTGGTGCAGGAGGACAGCAATTCTCCTGCCTCAGCCTCCTGAGTATCTGGGACTACAGGCACATGCACCTCGCCTGGCTAATTTTGATTATTTGTAGCGATGGGGCCTCACTGTGTTGCCCAGGCTAGATTCAAGCTCCTGGACACAAGCGATGCTCCTGCCTAAGCCTCCCAAAGTGCTGAGATTACAGGTGTGAGCCACCACGTCCAAGCTAGAGTTTTAAAAGTGAAATTTGAAGGGAGTGCCATGAAGCACTAAATGAGAACAAAATTTAAGAGAAAAATTAGAGGCCCCAGCTGTTCTGAGACCCCCTCATTTGGATCTGCTCCTTCTTGCTGCTGACACGGGCTCACAGTCCATCTGAAATGGACACGACCATTCTCCCCGATGAACTGCCCAGAAAGACAGCAGACGGCAGGGAAGAGTGGGGAGTGACTGCTCATGGACACAAGGTTCCCTTTTGGGGGTTACAGGTCCTGGAATTAGGTGGTGGTTATGATGGCACTGGCACCCTGAATTGTTCACTTTAAAATGGTTCATTTTGGGCCGGGAGGGGTGGCTCACACCTGATCCTAGCACTTCGGGAGGCTGAGGTGGGTGGATCATCTGAGGTCAGGAATTTGAGACCAGCCTAGACAACATGGCGAAACCCCTTCTCTACTAAACATACAAAAATTAGCCAGGTGTGGTGGCATGTGCCTGTAATCCCAGCTACCCGGGAGGCTGAGGCAGGAGAATTGCTGGAACCTGGGAGGCGGAGGCTGCAGTGAGCCGAGACCGCACCACTACACTCCAGAGTGGGTGACAGAGGAAGACTGTGTCTCAAAAAAGTAAATAAATAAATAAAGCATAAAGTGGCTCATTTTGGCTGGGCAAGGTGGTGCACACCTATAGTTGCAGCTACTTAGGAGGCTGAGGCAAGAGGATCACTTAAGCCCTAAGACCAACCAGAGCAATATAGTGAGATCTCATCTCTACCAAAAAAAAAATTAGCCAGGCCTGGTGGTGCACGCCTGCAGTCCCGGCTACTTGGGAGGCCGAGGTGGGAGAACTGATTGAGCCCAGGAGGTCGAGGCTGCGGTGACCTATGATCACACCGCTGCACTTCAGCCTGGGCAACACAGCAAGACCCTGTCTCAAAAGCTCAATAAATAAAATGAAATGGTTAATTTTATGTTATGTGGCTTTCACCTTTTTTTTTTTTTTTTTTTTTTGAGACGGAATTTCACTCTTGTTGCCCAGGCTGGAGTACAATGGCGCGATCTCGGCTCACCGCAACCTCTGCCTCCCGGGTTCAAGCAATTCTGCCTCAGCCTCCCGAGTAGCTGGGATTACAGGCATGCACCACCACACCTGGCTAATTTTGTATTTTTAGTAGAGACAAGGTTTCTGCATGTTGGCCAGGTGTGTCTCAAATTCCCAACCCCAGGTGATCCACCCGCCTTGGCCTCTCAAAGTGCTGGGATTACAGGCGTGAGCCACCGTGCCTGACCTCACTTTGATTTTTAAAAATCCAGTAAGGGCCGGACGCGGTGACTCATGCCTGTAATCCCAGCATTTTGGGAGGCCGAGGTGGGTGGATCACAAGGTCAGGAGATCGAGACCATCCTGGATAACATGGTGAAACTCCGTCTCTACTAAAAAAATACAAAAAATTAGCTAGGCATGGTGGTGGGCACCTGTAGTCCCAGCTACTCGGGAGGCTGAGGCAGGAGAATGGCGTGAACCCAGGAGGCAGAGCTTGCAGTGAGCCAAGATCACGCCACTGCACTCCAGCGTGGGCAACAGAGCAAGACTCTGCCTCAAAAAAAAAGAAAAAAAAAATCCAGTAAGAACCTGTGCTTCCCACCATACCCAGCCCTATGGTCCCCTGGCTGTGGTTGGGGTTATCGCCCCTCCCAGGTAGGACGAGGAGGAACAAGATCCCTGCAGGAAATGAAGCCCCTCTGCAAGAGAAAACCCTCATCTCATCAGTTTGGTGTTTTTAAAACCTCAAAATCATGTCAGGGAAGTTCTCTGGAATAAATACTTCCCTGCAACACTTTCTACTCAAGGATGAAAAAAAAGACCCTTTTCCTCTAAGATCCTTTAAGTCGGGTTATTTTCCTCTTTCTTGTAGGAAATGACATCGGAGAGAGAGACAAGATCACAGAGAATCCAGTCAGTACCGGCGAGAAAAACGCGGCCACGTGGAGCATCCTGGCTGTCCTGTGCCTGCTTGTGGTCGTGGCGGTGGCCATAGGCTGGGTGTGCAGGGACCGATGCCTCCAACACAGCTATGCAGGTAGAGACGGCCCCATATTGTGGATGTTAGTGTTTGTCCTGTTGGTGTGAATGTTTGCCTGCTTTAACTTCCCTCACTGATACTGATTTAGCTTGAAACTTTATTGTGGTAGGCTGGGCACGGTGGCTCACGCCTGTAATCCCAGCACTTTGGGAGGCCGAGGCGAGTGGATCACGAGATCAGGAGATCGAGACCATCCTGGCTAACACGGTGAAACCCCGTCTCTACTAAAAATACAAAAAATTAGCCGGGCGTGTGGCAGGCGCCTGTAGTCCCAGCTACTCATGAGGCTGAGGCAGGAGAATGGCGTGAACCCGGGAGGCGGGGCTTGCAGTGAGCCGAGATCACGCCACTACACTCCACCCTGGGCGACAGAGCAAGACTCTGTCCCCCCCAAAAAAACAAAGGAACTTTGTTGTGGTAGCACTAATATTCATGAGGCTTAGCAACCCGAACTATCCCACAAAGTGGTTTTGAAACCCAGCATCTCTGACATTCCTGACACTGCCAAGCCAGAAGGGCGCTGCGAGGTCTGCCCTGCAGGTCGGGTGGGCAGGGTGGCTTCTGCATGTAGAGGCCGGGGTGGTGGTCATTTCCAGGGAAGCCGCTGAGGCTGCCTTGAGCACTCCTGCCCTGTGGGTCTGTGACTCTGGCCAGCTCCGCGACAGAGCCCGGAGGTCTGTGTTTCAGCCATGTAAGACACAGCAGCAGGACGCAGTGGCGCAGGAAGCCCTGAACGTTGGCTGCAGTGATGGTCCTGATGACGGGGGGGGCTCTTCCCAGAACCCCCCAAGGGTGGCAGTCAATGGAGTGCAGGCGCAGTGGCCACGGAGTAGGGGCGGCTCCTGTGGGCTGCCCCTGGCTTTCCCATTTGTGGCCAATCTCAGTCATCCCAGAAACATCTTCCACGGCCATGATGCCACTGCTGGCTGGGCCGCAGAAGGGCCCCAGATCCAGGTCACAGCATTTTAAGTGCTTCCCAGGCACGTACCCCTTTAAGAGGATCTTTCTCAAAAGCCACGTGGCCTGGGGAGCCCCTCATCTGTGAGTGTTTTCCCCGCCTGGAGCTGGGAGCCTCGGGGAGACTTCCAAGTAGGGTGTTTAGGGGGCTGCTGAGAGCTCAGGAACACCAGGGGCTTTAGGGACACCCCCCGTCGCTGCTGCCCTGACCATTTTGGTTTGTCCTCCAGGTGCCTGGGCTGTGAGTCCGGAGACAGAGCTCACTGGTGAGTTTGCCGTGGGAAGCAGCAGGTTCTGGGGGGCCCAGGGGAGGCTTGGCTGCCAGCTGTCTTTCAGAGTTTCAAAAAACTTTCAGAAGGCAGAAGTCCCTTGCCTTGAACAACTGTTGTTCCTGGAGACGCAGCGAAGCCCTCGATGGTGCGCACGGCATTTCCTGCAGCCTCCCCTTGGCATGGGATGGCATCCTGGTGTGCACTTTGTCACACTGCGATGGGATTTTCCCAACATGCACAGAAGCAGAGAGACGAGTGCTAGACTCCCGCGCTCCCCAGTGCCCAGCCCCGACCAGGGTGTCCAGGGCGGGTCCAGGCACCGGCGCCCAGCCCCCATGGGGTGTCCGGAGTGGGTCCAGGCACCGGCGCCCAGCCCCCGTGGGGTGTCCAGGGCGGGTCCAGGCACCGGCGCCCAGCCCCCGTGGGGTGTCCAGGGCGGGTCCAGGCACCGGCGCCCAGCCCCCATGGGGTGTCCGGAGTGGGTCCAGGCACCGGCGCCCAGCCCCCGTGGGGTGTGCAGGGCGGGTCCAGGCACCGGCGCCCAGCCCCTGTGGGGTGTCCGGAGCGGGTCCGGGCACCGCCAGCTTCTCTCTGTGGCAGCCACTCCTGCAGCTCTCGTTTGCCCCTCAGTTCCAGGAGCAACATAGATGTGGATTCCTGTCCAATTTGGGAAAAATGTCCACACACGGTCACCCACCTGGCAGGTGCCTCTGGCTGCAAGGGGCGCTGGGCTTCGCAGGCAGGCCAGCCGGGCTCCCCGCCATGGGCCAGGATCCCCTCCGAGCCCTGTTTGCCGCCCAGGAGAAGGGGTTCCCCGGGGACAGTGGGCTCAGGGTGTGCGCAGCCACCACGCTGTGGTGTCACCTGTGGACCCAGGCGAGCTGATGGCCGACCGCAGAAACGCACTTCCAAGGCCAGGTCGGCCCATCCAGATGATGCAGGAACACAGCTTGCTAAAAACACGGCCGGCCTGTTCCCGTCGGAGCCAGTCGAAGTTCCCTGAACAGGCCGCTGTTTCCGAAGCTTTAAACCCTGTGTTTCCACCAAGCTGAGTCCTGAGAAAACCGGCGTCTGCCTGCAGAAGGGAAAGGGGTGCTTCATGTTCCTCTCTCTCCTTCATCTCCCTTCCAAGGCCACGTTTGACCGGAGCTCACCGCCCAGAGCGTGGACAGGGCTTCCGTGAGACGCCACCGTGAGAGGCCAGGTGGCAGCTTGAGCATGGACTCCCAGACTGCAGGGGAGCACTTGGGGCAGCCCCCAGAAGGACCACTGCTGGATCCCAGGGAGAACCTGCTGGCGTTGGCTGTGATCCTGGAATGAGGCCCTTTCAAAAGCGTCATCCACACCAAAGGCAAATGTCCCCAAGTGAGTGGGCTCCCCGCTGTCACTGCCAGTCACCCACAGGAAGGGACTGGTGATGGGCTGTCTCTACCCGGAGCGTGCGGGATTCAGCACCAGGCTCTTCCCAGTACCCCAGACCCACTGTGGGTCTTCCCGTGGGATGCGGGATCCTGAGACCGAAGGGTGTTTGGTTTAAAAAGAAGACTGGGCGTCCGCTCTTCCAGGACGGCCTCTGTGCTGCTGGGGTCACGCGAGGCTGTTTGCAGGGGACACGGTCACAGGAGCTCTTCTGCCCTGAACGCTCCCAACCTGCCTCCCGCCCGGAAGCCACAGGACCCACTCATGTGTGTGCCCACAAGTGTAGTTAGCCGTCCACACCGAGGAGCCCCCGGAAGTCCCCACTGGGCTTCAGTGTCCTCTGCCACATTCCCTGGGAGGAACAATGTCCCTCGGCTGTTCCGGTGAAAAGTTGAGCCACCTTTGGAAGACGCACGGGTGGAGTTTGCCAGAAGAAAGGCTGTGCCAGGGCCGTGTTTGGCTACAGGGGCTGCCGGGGCTCTTGGCTCTGCAGCGAGAAAGACACAGCCCAGCAGGGCTGGAGACGCCCATGTCCAGCAGGCGCAGGCCTGGCAACACGGTCCCCAGAGTCCTGAGCAGCAGTTAGGTGCATGGAGAGGGTATCACCTGGTGGCCACAGTCCCCCTTCTCACCTCAGCAATGATCCCCAAAGTGAGAGGTGGCTCCCCCGGCCCCCACCACCCTCAGCAGCCCCACCCCACTCAACCCTGAGGGTCCCCAGGGTCCTGATGAAGACCTCCGACCCCAGCGCCAGGCTCCTCGGAGCCCAACAGTCCCAAGGGGGCAGTGCTGAGGGGTACAGCCCTGGGCCCTGACCAGCCCCGGCACCTGCCATGCTGGTTCCCGGAATGAATCAGCTGCTGACTGTCTCCAGAAGGGCTGGAAAGGATGCTGCCAGGTGACCCGAGGTGCACTCGCCCCAGGGAGATGGAGTAGACAGCCTGGCCTGGCCCTCGGGACACATTGTCTGCCCCGGGGCTATGGGCAAATGCCCCTCCTTCTTACTTCCCAGAATCCCCTGACATTCCCAGGGTCAGCCAGGACCTGTTACAGCCCTGGTCACTTGGAACTGACAGCTGTGTGAGGCCTGCACTTCTCAGACCCAGACTTAGAACAAAAGGAGGAGTGAGGACTCAAGGCTACAATGAGGTTCCAGTACTTGTTACAAGAAATTGGTTTTCTGCAAAAAAAGTCCCTACCTGGGCCTTTAGGTGAATGTGGGATCCACTCCCGCTTTTAACATGAAAGCATTAGAAGATGTGTGGTGTTTATAAAAGAACAGTTGTCATCACCGGGCATTGATTGGCAGGGACAAGGAGCTGCTTGGGTGTGGAAAGTTGGGGCGTTGGAAAGTGGGCTGTGGTGCCCATTTGCAGTGACTGTGAAGTGACTCCAGGACGGACCTGCGGGGGCACCCAGAGATCCTAAGCCCCAGGACTGAGGGTCGTGCATCACCACTCGGGTGTCCCGGGAGGTGCCCTGGGCCCGGGGACCTCACAGGCAGGACGGCGACACTAATGCAGGGAGAGGGAGTCTGGCCCCAGCTTTTCCTATCAGAGGCGATTTTCCTTCACCAGGGGATGGGCAGGAAAGAGGCAGGGGCCCCAGAAGCTTCTGTCCCTCATGCCTGAGGGCACGGGGGACACTTGGAGGCTGCTGTCACCACTGTGCGTCCAAGGCCATGCTCTCTGCGGGTCAGTGCCTGAGTCTCGCCTCCCTGCTGGTCCCTGAAGCCCCCTCAGAAGCCCTGCCTGTCACGTCGGCATTTGTGAGACCTACCCTGTAACGCCTGCCCCTCTCAGCCCAACATCAGCTTCCTCTTTCTCCCTTGCTGTAGACAGGCTGGATTCCAGTGTTGGGACAGCCATCTCCAGAAACCTGACTTAAGAGAGTAAGATGCAAATCGTGCCTGTATCCAGTGGCTTCGGTGGGTGCAGGGAGTCTTGGGCACAGCCAGCTCAGCTGTCTGTGGTATGAGCAGGAACAGGTGCCACTCCTGCTCAGGGGACCCTGCCCTACACCAGGCTGTTCCGTCCCCCTGGAGGACATGGGGCCAGGTCTGGAGGCATTTTGGGTTGTCACAGCTGGGGGCTGTTCCTCGGCTTCAGCGGGTGGAAGCCTCAGATGCTGTTCAACATCTTCTGGACACGGGAGGCCCCGACAGAGAGAAGCGTCCACCCGCAAGTCCACAGTCTGAGGTCTCCCCTCAGAGACCCTGCCCTGCACACCCACCTCCAGCCAAAGGTCCTGCCTGCCCCAGGGCTCAGGGGAACCTTGCCGGTCTGTGGAACAGGAGAGGGGACTCTCGCCAGCTGCACCACCCTGCACGTAGTAGGTGTGCGGTAAACATCCACCAGGGAGGCTCCATTCAAGGCTGGCAGATGGGGCGGTCCATCCCTAGGGCAGGTGACAGAAGGGAAAAGGCTGCCTGCTGGCCCCCGAGCCAGGTAGCACATGCTTGTGCCTCAGTTTCCCCTCCTGTAAAGTGAGGCGCTGGATCCAGGTTCTGTCTACTGGGCTCTGCAGCTTGGACGCTCCTAAGACCAAGCGACCCACCCTGGGGAGGGCAGCTATGGCTTTGGAATAGCTGTCCAGGCCCGGGTGCCTCCAAGACGGCCACCACACCCTGCCTGTGCTGCAGGGGTGCAGGGGTAAGGGGCAAGACTCCAGAGGCCTCCTCTCTGCATCTCCTTGTCTTCAGTGGCCGGAGGTGAGGCCTGAGCTCAGGGGAGGGGCTTCTGCCACGAACCCTATGGCGGGGCACAGCACACTTTTCCCAGGGAGGACCCCTGGGCCCCCTGCATTATCCCCAGCGGAGTGTGGGGTCACCTTCCAAGAGCGACATTGAGAAGCTCCAGCTCTAGGAGTGTGCAGACTCTTAACCAGGCAGGCCCAGGCCCTGGGGCACACAAAGGCGGGGCCTGCTCTCCCCAGCTGCCCCTGCCAATGGGGGCTGGACTGTCCTACCCTCCTCCCTTCTACCTCCCCACTGTCTTCCCTCTCCACTGTCACCACTGCCTCCCTCTTCCACTGTCCTCCATGCACTGCCCTCCCTCCACCTTCCCCCACCCCCACCACTCCCCATGCTGTCCCCAGGCTCCCCCCGCTCTCCCCCCTCCCCACTGTCCCCCTCCCCATGCTGTCCCCAGCTCACCCCGCTCTCCCCCCTCCCCACTGTCCCCCTCCCCATGCTGTACCCAGCTCACCCCGCTCTCCCCTCTCCCCACTGTCCCCCCTCCCACTCCCCATGCTGTCCCCAGCTCACCCTACATGGACTTGGCGATGTCCTTCCATGGCTCACCGGTCTGAATTTCCATGATGAGCCGGGCCTGCAGCTTTGCTCCCCTATCCCTGCCCAGGCTGCAGCCATCCATGCAGGGAGCGAGCTCCAGCACCTGCGGAGTCCTTCCGTGGGGGCCTCTCCGTGCCACAGCAGCCAGGGACCTCAGGTGCCTGTGCATGACACCACCGCCCATCCTCATCCTGAGCCAGCCTCTCAGGATCAGGACTTGGTTTGGCGGCGTTAACCTTAGAGCCTGCAAGGGGCTTCCTCCTGGTGGGTCTGGCCGTAGCCTGGGGAGGCCACAGCTCCAGGCCACTCCAGACCTCCCTTCCTCTGGGCCTTCCATGTGGTGGCAACCACCGCAGCTGTAAGGGAGGGAAAATGGAGCGTTTGTTCTCGGGCTGGGCTGGGGTCTGGGGGAAGCCATGGGCGTGAAGACTGGGGTATTATTTGATGGAGAAGCGGCCACTCCTGGAGACCGGCGGCAAACACAGAAGCACAGCGTGGAAGGTGCTGGTGTCAGCCCACACGGGTGATGGGGTCAGACTCAGGAGTCACACTCAGGAGTCACCAGGCTCAAAGGGCCCAGGCACCGCAAGTCCTGCTCAGCCCCAGACACAATGCATTCCTGTTGCCCTCGCCCTCAGCCAGGCCCCACGCAGGCCAGGGAGCACTGGCAAAGCTTGGCAACCCTCTGGGGGCCAGCCTTCATCCAGGCCGAAGGTGGTCAGTGGCCCACCATGGCCCAGGTAGAAAACTCACGGATTAAGATTTCATGCCCGACTCCAAAGGCAAGAGACTTTATTATTTTATTTTTTTTGAGCCAGAGTATCGCTCTGTCACCTAGGCTGGAGTGCAATCTCTGCTCATTGCAACATCTGCCTCCCGGACTCAAGCAATTCTGCCTCAGCCTCCCAAGTAGCTGGGATTACAGGTGTGCGCCACCATGCCCAGGTAATTGTTGTATTTTTAGTAGAGACAGGGTTTCACCATGTTGGTCAGGCTGGTTTCAAACTCCTGACCTCAAATGATCTGCCCACCTCGACCTCCCAAAGTGCTGGGATTACAGGTGCGAGCCACCGCACCTGGCTACCAGACACTTCAGAGTTACAGGTTAGTTTTTCTTTTTCTTTTATTTTTTTTTTTTGGCGGAGGTGCAGGGGGAGTTAAACAAACAAACAAAATAAACAGGCCGGGTGCGGTGGCTCATGCCTGTAATCCCAGCACTTTAGGAGGCCTAGGTGGGTGGATCACGAGATCAGGGGTTCAAGACCAGCCTGGCCGAGATGGTAAAACCCCGTCTCCACTAAAAATACAAAAATTGGCCAGGCACGGTGGCTCACACCTGTAATCCCAGTACTTTGGGAGGCTGAGGTGGGCAGATCACCTGAGGTCAGGAGTTCAAGACCAACCTGACCAACATGGAGAAACCCCATCTCTACTAAAAATACAAAATTAGCCAGGTGTGGTGGTGCATGCCTGTAATTCCAGCTACTCGGGAGGCTGAGGCAGGAGAATTGCTTGAACCCAGGAGGCAGAGGTTGCAGTGGGCCAAGATGGCGCCATTGCACTCCAGCCTGGGAACAAGAGCGAAACTCTGACTAAAAAAGAAAGAAAGAAAGAAAAAAATTAGTTGGGCACGGTGGCAGGCGCCTGTAATCCCAGGTACTCAGGAGGCTGAGGCAGGAGAATTGCTTGAACCCGGGAGGCAGAGGTCGCAGTGAGCCGAGATTGCACCACTGCCCTCCAGCCTGGGTGACAGAGCAAGACTCCGTCTCAAAAAAAAAAAAAAAAAAAATTGGATACATTGTAATACCTCAAATACTTGTAAGTGAAGCACCCCAGTTCCCATAGAGCTGCCGCACTCAGAGGCTTCTGTAACCTGCCTGCTCCCAGCATTCTATTTAGGGTCTGGTATGTCCAGAATTTGCAGACACAGCAATTCCTGCAGCAGCAGTGCACCATGTGGAAGGGGCCCCATGACCAGCCCACTGTGAGCTCACACGTGATGACTGAGGCTTCTTCACACAGCAGGGCTCTGGGTGTGATACCCAGGGCACACGCGTTTGCACAGGCACAGGCCACACAAGTTCTCACATGCTCAGCCCCATAAGCCGTGCTGGACAGGCATGGCCATTTACACCCAGGATCCTGCTGAGAACAGCAACCAACTCACCACCCTCGCATCATGATCCTTGCCACACAGGGGCTCTGGTGGCTTTGGTGGCCTGGGCTGTGGCTCTGCTGCCAGCCACCTTGAGTGAAGATCCGGGTTCTCTGGGTGCTACTCAGCTGCTATGTGGGGAGCTGGCCCCTGGGGTGATGAGGGCCCTTCCCAACCCGCCCTCAGCCCTTGGACAGCCAGGATCACCCGGGGCTGTCTGCATACAGACTTCTCAGGGGAGTTCTCAGCTTGGACCCTTATCTCCCCAGAATCCTGGAACCTGCTCCTTCTGCTCTCGTGACTGACTGTGTTCTCTATGCAACTTCCAATAAAACCTCTTCATTTGAAAGGAAAAAAGTCTGCATTATCTGTTTAGGAAGGGAGAGAGTTCATATTGCAATCTTTTTTTTTTTAATAAAAATAATCTCAGCCTGGGCAACATGGTGAGACCCCATCTCTGTAAAACATTTTTAAAAAATTAGCCGGGTATGGTGGCGCACACTTGTAGTCCCAGCTACTCAGGAGGCTGAAGCGGGAGGATCCATTGAACCTGAGAAGTCGAAGCTGCAGTGAGCTGTGATTGTGCCACTGTACTCCAGCCTGGACAACAGAGTGAGACGCCGTCTCAAATAAATAAATACATAAATAAAGGACTCTGAAGCCTTATTACCATGGTTCACTCTAAGTATTTTTGCTCTGAGGTGTGCTTCCATACATAACTTTCATTATGCCCATTAGGGTCCATAACTATAAAAATCCACAATTAAGTCATATTTTATATGCTAATTTGTCAGCCCGCCATGGTGGCTCACGCCTATAATCCCAGCACTTTGGGAAGCCAAGACGGGAGGATCGCTTGAGTGTAGGCGTTTGAGACCAGCTTGGGCAACATTGTGAAACCCTCTCTCTACAAAAAATACAAAAATTAGCTGGTTGTGGCGGCATGTGCCTGTAATCCCAGCTACTCAGGAAGCTAAGGTGGGAGGATCAGCTGAGCCCAGGGGTGTCGAGGCTGCAGTGAGCCATGGTTGTGCCACTGCACTCCAGCCTCGGTGACAGAGCAAGGCCCTATCTCTAAATAAATAAATAAATAAATAAAAATTAAAAACAGGCCGGTGCGGTGGCTCACGCCTGTAATCCCAGTGCTTTGGGAGGCCGAGGCGGGCAGATCACGGGGTCAGGAGATCGAGACCATCCTGGCTAACACGGTGAAACCCCATCTCTACTAAAAATACAAAAAATTAGCCGGGCGTGGTGGCGGGCGCCTGTAGTTCCAGCTACTCAGGAGGCTGAGGCAAGAGAATGGTGTGAACCTGGGAGGCGGAGCTTGCAGTGAGCCGAGATGGCACCACTGTACTCCAGCCTGGGTGACAGAGCGAGACTCCGTCTAAAAAAAAAAAAAAAAAAAAATTAAAAATAATTTGTCAATTGGCTGGGTGCGGTCCTGTAATCCTAGCACTTTGGGAGGCCGAGGTGGGCGGATCACCTGAGGTCAGGAGTTTGAGACTAGCCTGGGCAATATGGTGAAGCCCTATCTATACTAAAAATACAAAAGTTAACCAGGTGTGGTGGCGGGCGCCTGTAATCCAAGCTACTCAGGAGGCTGAGGCAGGAGAATTGCTTAAAACCGGGAGACAAAGGTTGCAATGAGCTGAGATCACGCCACTGCACTCCAGCCTGGGTGAGAGAGGGAGACTCCATCTCAACAACAACAAAAAAGTCAAGATAACATTTTTCTTAGGTATTCCCCTAATTTAGGTATTTAGAAATAATACCCTATGGTTGGATAAATCCAGATAATTACCAGATAGAGATTGGATATTGTCGAACATTATTGTTCAAATAATCTTTCATTTCTGCCAAGAAATCCTTTTGAGTAATTTGTGTTTGATCGAATTGCTTTTAACCAAATCATCTGTATTTTTTTCTTCTTTTACACATTACCCATATCCCTTTTTCCTGAACCCAGAATTCAATCACTTTGACCCTCTCTGCCTCTCATTCTCCCAAGCCACCCACAGGTGACAATCTTCACTTTAATTTGTCCTCTGCAGGGATCGAAATGGGAAAAACCCGGCCAGGTAAGCAGGCAGGGAGGACAGGCTGGAGTCGGGTGTGGGGAGTCAGCCACTGAGGTCAGGAGCCCTGCAGGCAGCAAGCCACCCGGGCTTAGGAGGGATGGTTTAGAAAGTATCAACAAAGGCTGGAAACAGTGGCTCACGCCTGTAATTCCAGCACTTTGGGAGGCTGAGGCAGGTGGATCATCTGAGGTCAGGCGTTCAAGACCAGCCTGGCCAACATGGCGAAACCCCATCTCTACAAAACTACAAAAAAGTTAGCCAGGCATGATGGTGGGTGCCTGTCATCCCAGCTACTCGGGAGGCTGAGGCAGGAGAATCATGGTGGCTGCTGAGGCAGCAGAACAAGGCTGTTCTGCTCTGCGGTTTGTGGGTTTGACACTCGTGGCCCAGGAGGCGGAGGTTGCAGCGCAGTGCAGTGGCCGAGATCGCGCCACGAGCCTGGGCAACAGAGCAAGACTCCATCTGAAAAAAAAAAAAGTATCAACGATGAAATTATCGACGATGGGGTAACCCCGGGAACCTCTCTGCCTCCACCGTGAAGAAGCATCAAGCAGAACCCGGCTGTGTGCAAGGGAGTCACATGCCTTCGGAAGAGCCCAGGTCTGGGCACAGCTGCCTGCTCAGACCAGAGGGAGGCCTGCCATGCCCCAGGAAGGCACTGGCTTGGAGTTTTTCTTCATTGTGAAGAATCACGATGACGAATTAGAATCAGTGAGTTTGGCACGAATGAGGTGCTTCCTCCAGGACGTTGCTGGAGGGCGCTGCTATAGCTGGCATCCCGGCCTGGAGGCACTTCCCCTCTCATTCTTCTCAGGAGTCAGTCCTGACTGAGACCTGCTCCCAGGGCAGGACTCTGGGCTTCAGGAGCGTGGTCCTGAGCCGCAGGGACATGGTGGCTGGTCTGCAACAGGCTTCCCATCCCGTGGACATGTGGACACTCCAGAGCCCTGGAATTTCAGCAACATCAGCCAACGGCCACAGGGACAACCACAGTAAAGCCAGCCTGCCAGCAGAAAAGTAACAGACTGAGCTAAAATCACCTCTGGAACTTCCTGTCTACCTGGACACCTGTCTACAGGGCCTGAGAGAGGAACTGACACTTTCTCCTCCAGCAGAGCCATGTCAGGAAGGAGCCTCTCCGGCAAAGGCTGCCCAGGCCCACCCGGACTCCACTCAGAGCCTGAGCCCTTGGTTCCCGTGAAGCTCTGAGGGCAGGTTGGCAGCCACAACACTGGGCCAGGACCCAAGATGGGGCAGGCCAGGCCCTCCACCAAGGGCCCAGACCCTCTATGCAAATGCAGGCCATGCCTGTGTGCAGCCAGGGGCCCCTGGGAGAATGCAGTGAGGAAGGGCAGGTGGATGTGCTTGGACTGAGACAGAAAGCTCCAGGGTGACGCTTGCCATGAGCGTGGGCACGACCCTCCTCCTCTTCCTCCTCCTCCTCCTCCTCTTCCTCCTCCTCCTCCTCTTCCTCCTCCTCCTCTTTCTTTTCCTTCTCTTCCAGGCACTTCCCCTGCAGCTGCAGTGGGAGGTGTTTCCAGATGCTGGAATGTGCTCCTGGGGCAGCAGCTCCCTGCCTGCTGGAGTCTCCTGGGCTCCTCTGCTGGGCTGTGCACACAGCACTGATCTTAGGGCACAGCCGGTGGGGAGGCCACACAGGGGAATCCTCCTGTGGCACTGGGGATAAAGGTCCTGTCTTCCAGCCGGGGGCAACTCCATCCAGTGTGGCCTAAGGCAAAACTTGGAATCCATGTTGACTGATTTTTGAGATGGTGTTTTGCGAACAGTAAAGGGATAGGCAAAGTTCTTGTTGTAAGCCACTCAGGCACCCTCCTGACAGAAGCCTGGGGATTCCGGAGGTAAAAGCTGTAAGGTTGGGAGTGGACCCTGGAGCCCACTCCCCCGACCCCCGACCCTCAATGAGGTTCTTTAGAAGACTGTGCCCTGGGGCTGCCCACACAGCCAGGCACTCTAGGGCCTGGGAAGACACTGCTCTCCCGTGCATGTCGGGGACACAGGCTTTCGTCCTCAGCAGTTGTGCAGGTCAGGTGGGGACTCAGGGAAGGCAGCCGGGCTGGGTGAGAGCTTAGACAGAGACAATGACCAGCCACAAGATGCAGTTAAACAAATACACAAACCTGCTTTCCAATGGTTTACAATGGATTCTGAACAGCCCGGGGCCCCAGAACAGCTAGATTCCTCACTCCTCTCCATTCTCAGGCCAACCTGTGGTCTCATTTTATAAAAAAGAGATTGGGCTGGTTTACTCAGCCAAGAAACATCGAAGAGATGGTACCTAAAACCAAGGGCTTTGGATCATCTGTCTGGCCCAGGGCGTCCCACCTCCCTGCCTCTGACAGGACTTCCCACCTCCCCGCCTCTGACTTCAGTTGGGAAGAGGATGGTGGCGGGAGATGGAGGATGAGGCCCTCCTCATCTGCTTGGCCAAGGCTGTTCTGCTCTGCGGTTTGTGGGTTTGACACTCGTGGCCTTGAAAGCAAGCCTCCCGGCCCAGCCTCCATCTTCCTGACAGTAGTGCTGCCTGTGAGTATTTGCATGGCACGGCAAAGTCACAGCTCAGCAGACACTCCTGATAACACTCTTAACAACACCATGCACAGGGGAGGGTGAGCACACTGCCCTTCTGGAGACCAGGAAACTCCCCGAAGCCTCAGGGTGATTGACCTGCCCCTGCCACGCCCCTAATAGCTCCATCTTCTCACTCCACCTTCCTGCCTCTTTCTGAGTCGTGGTTCCAGGTGCCTGCCTGCCCTGGGTGAGTGAAGCCACCAGTACACACCCAGTCACATTAGAACTGCCCAGTTCCATCCCAGGCCAGTGTAAACCAAAAATAAAACCCGAAGTCCCCAGCCAACTGAAGTGACCCCCGCTTGGCCATGTCCACCCCAGAGAAGCCTGAAAAACCTCCTCCTGGGTGGTCGCACAGGCCTCGTTATGTCACCGAGCAGCTCAGCTTCGAACTGTGTTTTAACACGGCCTTTCTTTCCTCCTTTCTCCCCAGTCTCAAGACATGGCTTTGAGCAAACTACAGATGTGCTTCCTTTCATCTTGAAATCCAGCCTGGGAGCAAGCTGTGAGCCTACTGCCTTCCCTCTCCCACCTGCAGCTCCCGGGCCCTGTGCACATTTGTTTATCTGGATGCTTGCTGAGTGCACACCATGCTCACCTGTCTGGTCATCTATTTCCTAGAAGCTTTGGGGGCCAGATCCTGGGACGAACCAGGCATCTCCAGAATTCCTTCCCCAGCAGGCGGGTTACTTTGAGGCCAGAGCTTACTCCTGGCTAAAGACTCACTGCAAGATTGACTGTGATTGATTTCTAATCTGGGGGCGACCCGCGATGGCGCAGCCCCTTCACCAGATGTGTTTGTGGTGGAAGTTATCCAAGTGACACGGCACCAAAACCTGTGATCGGTGGCAAATCCGTACAGGTCTGCGGCAGCCGCAATTCTCACCTCCTCAGAAGAAAGAATTCGACCAAGGGGCAGAAGGCAGAAGAAGAGACCGAGACAAGTTTTAGAGCAGGAGTGACATTTATTAAAAAGCTTTAGAGCAGGAATGAAAGGAAGGAAAGGACGCTTGGAAGGGGGCCAAGCAGGTGACTTGAAGGACAGGTGTGTGGTTTGACCTTCGACTTGGGGTTTTATATGTTGGCACGCTTCCGGGGTCTGGCCTGCCTTCTCCCCTGATTCTTCCCTTGGGGTGGGCTGTCCACATGTGCAGTGGCTGCCAGCCCTTGGGAGGAGCACGCGCTATGTGTTTACTGGAGTTGCGCGCCTGCTTACCTGAGGCGTTGTTCCCTTACCTGTCAAATGTCCCTAGGAGGCCATAGACCAGTTACACTCCACAATTTTGCCTTTTAATACACATGCTTGAGCCCACTCACCCAATGCCTGAGGTCTTATGGGGAAGGATTTTTCTGTCTGTTGGGAGGCTGCCTTTCCCTGGCGTTGGCTGTGACCAATTATTATTTTAGAGAGACAGTTAACAGCCACCCGACCAACACTGATGGTCGCCTGACATTCCTGGTTGGGAGGGCCCTCTCCTGCCCTGCTCATGTCTGACCAGCTGCCTACTGTAACAGATGGAACAATAACTCAAGAGAAGCCATCAGAGCAGGTCACCTGGCACCTCCTGGCCCCTGCCTCGCCTGCATTCCAGACCCCCTCTACACGTCCCTCTACAAATTGAAGAGTGGCCATTTTTGGAAAGGATTCCGGCCAATCTCCCCCTTGCTAGCATGAGAATGAAGCTCACGCTCTTTCTTTTTTCTTTCTTTTCTTTTTTTTTTTGAGACGGAGTCTCGCTCTGTCACCCCGGCTGGAGTGTAGTGGCGTGATCTCGGCTCACTGCAAGCTCCGCCTCCCGGGTTCACACCATTCTTCTGCCTCAGCCTCCTGAGTAGCTGGGACTACAGGCGCCCGCCACCGCGCCCGGCTAATTTTTTGTATTTTTAGTAGAGACGGGGTTTCACCGTGTTAGCCAGGATGGTGTCGATCTCCTGACATCGTGATCTGCCCGCCTCGGCCTCCCAAAGTGCTGGGATTACAGGTGTGAGCCACCGCGCCCGGCAGCTCACTCTCTTTCTATCACGCCCCACTCTTGTCATCGTGGCTTCTTTTTAAGCGGTGAGCAGCCAGACCTTTGCTGGTTACAGCCACAACCCTCCCTTTCAGAGTTGAGGCACAGCTGGCCAGTCCTGACATTAAAATCAGGATCCTAAGACGGATGGAACACACTCTATGTGGCAATAAGACACCAAATTCCAGCCTGACTCTGGTATAGCATCACGTGACGGATAGCAGACTCTGAAGGAAATGAGAATATTTTGCCTTAAAATATATTTCTTTGACATATTTTGAAAGGGTCCCACAGAACCATCCTTTCTCAGAGAAACTAGCACCCATAGAGAATCTCCACGAATGCAGCCAGGACTTCCTCTTCTAGTACTTTCCAGACCTAGGAGAGATTAACTGAGGGCCTGACACCTTTAAGGTCTGAAAAGGGACATTTGCCATCTATTCTCTCTGAGGGCTGCAATCTACAAGGCTTCATCTGCAAACCAAGGGCCTCGGCCCCCACACCCCTCATCTTAATTCCAGCCTTCCTTCCAGCTGACTTCACCTCTGTAGACAAAGCTTCACGCTTTCAATCAACCGTCAACTAAAGAATCGCAGAACCAGCCGGTGCAGTGGCTGATGCCTGTAATCCTAACACTTTGGGAGGCCGAGGTGGGCGGATCACTTGAGGTCAGGAGGTCAAGACCAGCCTGGCCAACATGGTGAAACCCCGTCTCTACTAAAAATACAAAAATTCACCAGGCATGGTGGTGGGCGCCTGTAATCCCAGCTACTTGGGAGGCTGAAGCACGAGAATCACTTGAACCCAGGAGGCAGAGGTTGCAGTGAGCTGAGATCGCACCACTGCACTCCAGCCTGGGCGACAGAGTGAGACACAGTCTCAAAAAAAAAAAAAAAAAAGAATCGTGGAACCTACCTATGACCTGTAAACCCTGCTCCAAGATCTCCTGCCTTTCAGGCCAAATCAGTGTGCACCTTCCACATTCTGATTTATGTCTTGGCCTGTAACTTGTGTCTTCCTGAAATGAGTAAAACCAAACTGTAACCCGGCCGCCTCGGGGCCACTCAGTCAAGCTGTAACCCGGCCGCCTCGGGGCCACTCAGTCAAGCTGTAACCCGGCCGCCTCGGGGCCACTCACTCAGGCTGTAACCCGGCCGCCTCGGGGCCACTCAGTCAAGCTGTAACCCGGCCGCCTCGGGGCGACTCACTCAAGGCTTCCTGGGTTTGCTTCTCTCCAGGCCACAGTCACATGTACAGGCTCAGAATAAACCTCTGTAAAATGTTCTAGAGTCTGTTTTTTCCCATTAACAGCAGTTACGGAAGGGTTGTTTTACCACAAAGGGATCCCAATCCAGACCCCAAGACGGTACTTGGACCTCCTTCCAGAAAGAATTTGGGACGATTTTATAAAGTGAAAGCAAGTTTATTAAGAAAGTAAAGGAATAAGAAAAATGGCCACTCCATAGGCAGAGCAGAAGTATGGGCTACTGGTTGGCTATTTTTACGGTTATTTATTGATTATATGCTAAACAAGGGGTAAATTATTCATGAGCTTTCCGGGAAAGGGGTGGGCAATTCCTGAAACTGAGGGTTCCTCCTTTATTTGTTTTTTGTTTATTTATTTTTTGAGACAGGTCTCACTTTGTCACCCAGGCTGGAGTGCAGCGATGTGATTTCGGCTCATTGCAACCTCCGAATCCCGGGTTCAAAAGATTCTCATGTCTCAGCCTCCCAAGTAGTTGGGATTACAGATGTGCACCACCACACCTGGTTAATTTTTGTATTTTTAGTAGAGATAGGGTTTTTGCCATGTTGACCAGGCTGGTCTCCAAACTCCTGGTCTCAAGTGACCTGCCCATCTCAGCCTCTCAAAGTGTTGGGATTACAGGCGTGAGCCACTGCATCTGGCCATCCTCCCCTTTTTAGACAATATAGGGTAACTTCCTGATGTTGCCATGGCATTTATAAACTGTCGTGGTGCTGGTGAGAGTGTCTCTTAGCATGCTAATACATTATAATCAGCGTATAAAGAGCAGCCACATGGTGAAACCCTGTCTCCTCTACTAAAATACAAAAAATTAGCCAGGCATGGAGGCGTGTGCCTGTAATCCCAGCTACTCGGGAGGCTGAGGCAGGGGAATTGCTAGAACCCAGGAGGCGGAGGTTGCAGTGAGCTGATATCACACCACTGCACTCCAGCCTGGGTGACAGAGCGAGACTAGGTCTCAAAAAAAAAAAAAAAAAAGGCAAGGCGAGGTGACTCACGCCTGTAATCCCAGCACTTTGGGAGGCCGAGGCAGGCGGATCACAAGGTCAGGAGATCAAGACCATCCTGACTAAGACAGTGAAACCCCGTCTCTACTAAAAATACAAAAAAATTAGCCGGGCCTGGTGGCGGGCACCTGTAGTCCCAGCTACTCAGGAGGCTGAGGCAGGAGAATGGCGTGAACCCGGGAGGCAAAGCTTGCAGTGAGCCGAGATCACGCCGCTGCACTCCAGCCTGGGTGACAGAGCAAGTCTCCGTCTCAATGTTAAAAAAAAAAGGAGCAGTGAGGACGACCAGAGGTCAGTCTTGTCACCATCTTGGTTTTGGTGGGTTTTACCCAGCTTCTTTACCACAACGTGCTTTATTAGTGAGATCTGTGTGACCCGTACCTTGTGCCGACCTCCTGTCTCATCCTGTGACTTAGAATGCCTGACACCCTGGGAATACAGCCCAGTAGGTCTCAGCCTCATTCTACCCAGTGCCTATTTAAGATGGAGTCACTCTGGTTCAAATACCTCTGACAGTGGGGTGGGACCCAGGTACATCTAACATGCAGCCAGCTTATACTCACTCAGAAGAACCATTGTGCTGTGCAAATGGCAGGCCAAAGGAAGTGACCAACAGTTACCTCACGGGAGCAGTCTTATGGCGACAGACAGGGTCCCACCGTGATTTTACTGAAAGGAGCCAGAGGCCCAGGGGGATGGGATGGTCTGGCCAGGGGTTGTGATCCATGGCAATAGCCACGTTGGCCACCACCAGAATGGGTGAGGGGAGACAATCTGGGAAGCCAGGGAGGAAAACGTGGGGTATGCTCACCCCTGGGGCCAACGCTGCACTTGCTGGAGCATGAGGGTCTTCCCCAGGCCTCACCTTGGTGCAGCCCTGCCCAGGGCCCCAGGTGTGGAAACCATTACTAAATATTCAAGAATTTTGCAGCTAGTTGAGAACTAGCTGGAAGCTTACAAATGGCCACAGCAGGAGTATGGAGCATTTACACGACAGAAACTGTGAACTCTAAAATCAGGGCTGTGCTTGGGGTGTGTTTTGTTTGGAACACCTGCTTAGCCGCACCTACCACTCCTTGCTCTCCCATGGCCAGCCCTGAGCCCACAACCTTCTCCAAATTATTTATTTATTTATTTATTTATTGAGACGGAGTCTCGCTCTGTCGCCCAGGCTGAAGTGCACTGGCGTGATCTCGGCTCACAGCAACCTCCGCCTCACGGGTTCAAGTAATTGACCTGCCTCAGCCTCCCGAGTAGCTGGGACTACAGATGCATGCCACCACGCCCAGCTAATTTTTGTATTTTTGGTAGAGACAGGATTTCACTATGTTGGCCAGGCTGGTCTTGAATTCCTGACCTCAGGTGATCCGCCTGCCTTGGCCTCCCAAAGTGCTGGGATTACAGGTGTGAGCCACCACGCCCAGCCCAAATTATTTATTTATTTGGATTTTTGCATTTCCTGTTGAGAAGTTCCACGCTGACAAATGCTGTTTTGTCCAAAAAATCCTCAGGACAAATTGGCCAAGGGCATTTTCCTTAAATAACAATCCTTTATGTGGGGCCCATGGTTTATTTGCAAAATCCATGAATGAATTGTCAGTGTCTTTCTTAGTGACTGTTGGATGACTGTTTTCCAAAGGCCCCACCCACCCTGGACACAGACCCCCATGTCAGCCTCAGCTTCCCCGAGCAGCTGGCCTCACTCCCGGGCTGTCCCCAGGGAAGCCCCCAGAGAGGTGTGTTATATTTTCAAGAAAAGGCCCTCAGCTCCTGAACATGTAACTTTTCTGAATTCAATGACAGTGACTCCTTTTGATAAAGGGAATTTCCGTTCGTTTGTTTTAAAAAAAAATTTTTTTAACGGTCTCTATTTTTAACACTCTCAGCTGAAGCCCCAAGGTTGGCTTCATGAGGCCCAGGGTCCAGGACATCTCCTTTCCCATGAAACTGTTCTGCTGAAGCACCTGGGGGGTGGGGGGGCTTTGTATTCATTCATTCATCCCACATTCACTCACTCATTCATCCCACATTCACTCACTCATTCATTCATCCCACATTCACTCATTCATTCATCCCAAATCACACATTCATTCATTCATCCCACATTCACTCACTCATTCATCCCACATTCACCCACTCATTCATTCATCTCACATTCAGTCATTCCTTCAACACACATTCCCTCATTCATCACACATTCAGTCACTCGTTCATTCAGCCCACATTCACTCACTCATTAATTCATCCCACATTCACTCACTCATTCATTCGTCCCACATTCACTCACCCATTCATTTCAGTCACTCACTCATTCATTCATCCCACATTCACTCAACCATTCAGCTCAGTCACTCACTCATTCATTCATCCCACATTCACTCACTCATTCATCCAAAATTCACTCATTCATTCATTCATCCCACATTCACGCACCCATTCATCCCACATTCACCCACCCACTCATCCATTCATCTCACATTCACTCACTCATCCATCCCACATTCACTCACTCACTCTTTCGGCCCACATTCACTCACTCATTCATCCCACATTCACTCAGCCCACATTCACTTACTCACACATTCATCACACATTCACTCACTCATTCGTCCCACATTCACTCAGCCCACATTCTCTCACTCACACATTCATCACACATTCACTAGCTCATTCATTCATCCCATATTCACTCACTTTTCACTCATCCCACATTCATTCACAGGCATCCATCCATCCATTCCACATTCATGTGTCCCTGACAGATGTCAGGTGTCAGGTGGTGGGACCTGTTCCAGGAATTGGAGACAGAGGGCAAGCCATGCAGAAGGCAGGTAAACCAGACAGTGTTGGAGTGACCTGGGCTCTGGGAGAGAATCAAACAGGGGACTTATCAAACTGTGAGTGTTAGGGAGGCTTCTGAGGAGGTGACATTTGTCAAACCTATGACCTTGTGTCCTGTATCCTTCCATCCATTCATCCCTCCCTCCCTCCCTCCTTCCCTTCATCTATCCATCCATCCCTCCATCCATCCATCCCTCATCTCTCCATCCATCCATCCTTCCCTCCTGTCCATCCCTCCCTCCCTCCCTCCATCCATCCATCCCTCCCTCCCATCCACCCCCTCCCTCCCTCCATCCATCCATCCCTAGCTCCCTACCTCCATCCATCCATCCCTCCATCCATCCATCCATTCCTCCTTCCCTACCTCCATCCATCCATCCCTCCCTCCCTACCTCCATCCATCCATCCCTCCATCCATCCATCCATTCCTCCCTCCCTACCTCCATCCATCCATCCCTCCCTCCATCCATCCATTCCTCCCTCCCTCCATCCTTCTATCCCTCCATCCTTCCCTTCCATCCATCCATTCCTCCATCCCTCCATCCATCCCTCCCTCCATTCTTCCCTCCCGTCCATCCTTCCCTACCTCTTGTCCATCCCTCCCTCTCTCCCTCCCTCCATTCATCCATTCCTCCCTCCCTTCATCCATCCATCCCTCCTCCTTCCATCCTTCCATCTATCCATCCCTCCCACCCACCCATCCCTCCCTCCGTCATCCCTCCCTCCATCCCTCCATTCCTGTATCCCTCCCTCCTTCCCTCCATTCATCCATCCAGCCAGCCAACCATCTATCCTTTTGTTTGCTCCTGTCCTGGGTGCCGGGAATGTGTGGCCTGCAGTATTTACACCCCTTGCTGTGGCACCATGCCTAGCTGGAGAGACAGACACATGTAAGTCACCAGTCATCTCCCCAAGGGGTGGGCCTGGGGCTGACGGAGAAACCCAGAATGTTCTTCCACAGTAGGTGGGGAATGCCAGCTGAGCAGGGGACTCAAGAGAGAGGTTGGGGGAGCAGGGCCTCTCCATGCAGAAATCTTACCCATGGTGGGTAGGAACTTCCAAAGGTGAAGGACAGTGGGCTTCTCTTCAGGTTGATGGATTACTTTTTAAAATCATAACATAAGTCAGGCATGGTGGCTCATGCCTGTAGTCCCAGCTACTCAGGAGGCAGAGGCAGGAGGATCACTTGAGCCCAGGAGTTTGAGACCAGCCTGAGCAATATAGCAAGACATGTCTTTAAAATAAAATAAAATAATAACATCAAGTTGTCCCTCGGTATCCTTTGAGGATTAGTCCCAGGACCCCTGCAGATACTGAAGTCCCCAGAATAAAATGGCGCAGTGTCTGCCTAGCACCTGTGCCCACCCTCCCGCACATCTTCCTGCATCCTGCAAACCATTGCTAGATCACTTATCAGACCTAACACAACACAATGCTCTGTCAATAGCTATACTGTATTTTTTATTTGTGTTCTTTTTTATTGCTGTATTGTTCTTTTTTTCATTTTTCTTTTTCAAATATTTTGCATCTGGCTTGGTTGCCTCCAGGGATGTGGAACCCTTGGGTCTGGAGGGACAGCTGGTCTCTCTGTTGGTGAAAATATTCCCTTAACCTGGAGAATACTTTTGCCACTTTTGCTCAGTCTGCTCCTGGATCCGGTCTGTGTCATTTTGCCCGGATCCTGGGCCCGCTCCCAAGGAGGGCTCCCCCAGCTGCAGGGGTGAGGGCCTGTGCTGTGTGGGCGCATGGCTCATCTGCCAGCGACCCATGATTGTTCCCTGGGGCTCTGCCACCCCCAGCTGACTCCTCTACACAGCTCCTGATGCCTTGGGCAGGCCGTGTTGGGGG
Organism: Homo sapiens; assembly: GCF_000001405.40. Lineage (NCBI taxonomy): Eukaryota > Metazoa > Chordata > Mammalia > Primates > Hominidae > Homo > Homo sapiens. The sequence goes on from NC_000021.9 coordinate 5,053,961, forward strand.
GGTGTATCCCAGAAAGGCATTGTGTGGGGGGCTGGTATCGCTAGGGGCCTGGGGTCCCCGGTCCCCTCTGTGACTTTCATGAGCAGAATGGAGGTACCCAGTCTCTCCTCATGTCACCACACCCCGCTATCAGGAAGGGACAGGGTCTCAGGTTCCTAGTGTTCCCAGGACCTGCCTGCCGGAGGGCTGCAGCTGAACTGCTGTTAGCGTGGGTGGCTCTGAATCAATGGCCCATTTTTCTGTGCAGTGTGTTGGGGGCAGCCTGAGCCTCTCACTCAGGTTGAACAGGAGCTTGGGGAACCCTCTTCCAGACCCTGAAGGGGTCCTGCTCTGTGTCCTGACCAACACTCATAGGGTCTGCTCTGTGGTCCTGACCTCACTCAGGCCCTGCTCTATAGCAAAGAAGCAAGCTAGACCTTTCTCCTTTGATGTGGAGACGGGAAAAAACAAGTTTTAGAATAACATGCCCAGAATGACCCCAACTAGGAACAATCGACTGTAGGACTGGGAGGATTTGAACATGTGCAAGCAAAAGGAGGCACCAGAGGGCTGTTCAGATGGATAACTGTGCAGGTGGGCATCCGTGCGGGTGGGCATCCATGCAGGTGGACATTCACGCAGGTAGGCCTTTGTACAGGTGGGCATCCGTGCAGGTGGGCATCTGTGCAGGTGGGTATTCGTGCATGTGGACACAGGTGGGCATTCATGCAGGTGGACATCTGTGCAGGCGGACATTTTTGCAGGTGGGCATTTGTGTGGGTGGGCTTCTGTGCAGGTGGGCATTTGTGCCAGTGGACACGGGTGCAGGTGGGCATTTGTGCCAGTGGACATGGGTGCAGGTGGGCTTTCAGGCAAGTGGGTATTCATGCAGGTAGGCATCTGTGCAGGTGGATATCAGTGCAGATGGGCATTTGCATGTGGACATCTGTACAGGTGGACATTGGTACAAGTGGGCACTCATGCAGGTGGGCACTCATGCAGGTGGGCATCTGTGCAGGTGGACATCCATTAGCTGTCACCCTTCTACCCACCATCCACATCCTGAGGATCCAGGGCCTCCTTCCTTGCAATATGTCCCCCACTGTCACCTCAACAGGTAAGGCAGGTCCTTACCACCTGCCTCTGCCTGCCCTCCAGGTCAGCCTCCCAAGGTTGGGCCTTCTTCTTGCCTCAGACTCACTTGCTTTGCAGCAGTGTGGCTATGTTATGGGCCCACATCCGAAATCCACACAGCCCACACCACCTGCAGGACAAGGGCAGCCAGTTAAGCTTGTACAGTCAGTCAGGGCTCACTGCTCCCTCCCTGGCCCTCCCTTGCCCTCTGAGAGGCCCTTTTCTTACCCACCCAGGTGTCCATCCACCTGCCCTGGGGTCCCCTCCCCTCCTGTACCCTTGCAGCTCCCATGAGCCTCAGCCCCCTCCAAGCCCGTCTCCCTAGCAAAACCTTCCCTGAGACTCTAGCCCTTCCCTTTCTGCTGTGATAGGATCTTACCACATCTGCAGAAGATTTAGTGCCTCCCGGCCCTGAGGCCCCGATGAATCACCCAGGCCTGGGTTCTTCCTGCGGACGGAAGACACTGACGGAGGCTGCGGGGCCTGCTTCCCTGAGAACTTGCACGTTGACATCCTCCTCCTTGGTGGCTCCTTCCAAACACAACAAACGTGCAGGCCCAGAAGGACAGGCAGGATGGCGATGTGGGGGCAGGGAGGGCTGAGAGCAGCTGCCCCCAGGGAGGGAGAGGGCCAGAGAGAGTGACCGGAGGGACACAGACATGGACATGTCCCCACCATCGCCGGGGCTGGAAAGGAACAACCCAAAATGTCTCTGGACTTTGTCGAGTATCCCCTGGGGTTTCAAATGGCCTGGGGGTGAGAAGCTCTGGTCCAGGCAAAGTTGTGTCCCTGGACAATGACTGTGTCCAAATCATACCCCCCGCCCGGGGTCTGAGTCATCCAGTCGTGCCACGGTGGTGGCTCTTCTGCATGTGGACCAGAGACACCTGTTTTCCCTGATGCCCAAGACAGTGTTAGCGATGAACAAATGAATGAACAAACGCTGCAGAGGGGAGGCCTCCCTCAGCCTGGGGCTGCTTGCCCACCTTCCCCGTGTGTCCTCCTGCCCCCAGCCCTGGAGGGAGCCCACAGTCTCACTTCGGAAAACCCCTCCAGAAAGCCCGGGACAGAGCAGGTGTGTGGTTCAGCTCGAGGAGGAAACCGGAAGCGGCCATGAACCCACGCCTGGGCAGCCACCTGGAAACGTGGTCAGATGTGACCTCTTCACAGACTCGGGGGTGCTGGGCTCTGAGCAGAAGCGGCCGGGTGGTCCTCCTGGGTGCCTCAGGGGCCCGGGGAGCATGGGTCAGGGCGAGTGGCTGCTCCCTGGCCTCAGGTTATCTGGGTGCCCGGTGAGTGAGGCATGGCAGGCGATACCGGACCCCACCCACCGCGTATACCTCTGGAATAGCGATTGCCATGATTGATGTCAGTAGCCTGGGCTGGGAGCCTGCAGGTGGGTGTGAGGGGGTGGAAGGAGCTGGTGTGAGAGGAAGTAGGGCAAGCGGGGGCTGGGAACTGGTTTGGGAACAACCGCAGCCTGGTCAGCAGGACCCACAGGGCCTGGACAGGGGCTGGAGCTGACCGCTGGCTGACCGGCTTTGCTGCAGCCACGTTCCTGCAGGGGACACAGACCCACCCACATTAGAAAAGTGACCCCTGCACCCCCAGTCAGCCTCCCGGAACGGCTGTCACCACTGTTTCCTGATTCGCTGGTGCATGTCTCCCCCACGGGGCACACATGCGTGGCCTTAGGCCTGAACAGAGCTGCTCACAGCACCCACTTCCCTTTCGGTTTTAAAGCTGCTGTGCCCGGGGGAGGGAAGCCTTCCCCCAATGGGTGTTCTTATTTATTTTCTTAATCACAGGTAATCAGAACTGCGAAGATGATTGGGTCACAGCCAGGAGACTGATTTTGTATCCAGAAGTTTCTGTTTCACAATCACTAAACTACTCATGCTCAAAGATTAGTGTCAACAAGAAATAAACAGACTCTGATACCGATATAAAATGAACGCGCGTTCAAGATTTCCTTCAACTCATTGTTAGCGCAGAAACCGGTAAGATGTGCCAGCCAGGTCAAAGGAGAAGTGACAAAGGCACCTGTGTACGCGGAGTAAAGGGATACAGGTACGCTTCACATACGAGGACTGGCTCTCCCACGGACGGGCGGGCGGTGGGAACTCGTGGGCAGCCGCGGGCAGAGCCCATCTGCATGCTGTCCAGGCAGTCCAGACTGTCCAGGCTGCTGCAACAGAGGACCACAGGCGGGGCCTAGAAACCGCAGATGTTTGTCCTCGCACATTTCTGGAGGCCAGAGTCCAGCATCAAGGCGTCGGCAGGACTGGCTCCTTCTGGGAACTCGGAGAGAATCCGGTCCAGCCTCAGCCCCTTCTGGCACAGCCGGCAGCCCTGGTGTCCCCCGATCAAGGCCGCGGTGCTCCAGTCTCCGACTCCGTCCTCCTGTGGTTTGCCTCTGCGGACCCCAAATCTCCCTCTCGTTCCTTCCACACGGGTGCTAGTGTCGGATTCAGGGTCCATCTGCATAACCCAGGATGACCTCGTCTCAAGAGCCTTAATTTGTCTGGGCACGGTGACTCACGCCTGCAATCCCAGCACTTTGGGAGGCCAAGGCAGGCAGGTTGCCTGAGGTCAGGAGTTTAAGACCAGCCTGGCCAGCATAGTGAAACCCCATCTCTACTAAAAATACAAAAATTAGCTGGGTGTGGTGGTGGGTGCCTGTAATCCCAGCTACTTGGGAGGCTGAGGCAGGAGAATTGCTTGAACCCAGGAGGCAGAGGTTGCAGTGAGCCGAGATCGTGCCACTGCACTCCAGCCTGGGCAACAAGAGTGAGACTCCGCCTAAAAAAAAAAAAAAAACAAAAAACAAAACAAAAAAACAAAAAAAAAGCCTTAATCTAATGACGCATCTACAAACACCCTATTTCCAAATAAGCTCAACCCCATAGGCATGAGGGTCGGGACTTACACATAGCTTTTGGGGGCCACTGTCAACCCACTACACGTGGCTATAAGCAAGAGTTATCTGCATTGCTCTCTGTTATCTGTAATGTACAGATTGGAAAATCGCTCAAAGGCAGCGCGAGGCTAAAATCAGAAAACCCAGAAGGGAGATGGCTCCCACTGCAGGCACCCAGTCCTCCTTCAGGCTCGGCTGCGTGTTCCAGACATGCTCACACTCACTTCTCAGGGTCATTCCAAGGCTCCCAGAATGGCCGCTGTGTTTTTTTGTTTTTTTTTTTTTTGAGACGGAGTCTTGGTCTGTCGCCCAGGCTGGAGTGCAGTGGTGCGGTCTCGGCTCCCTGCAACCTCCACCCCTGCAGGTTTAAGCAATTCTCTGCCTCAGCCTCCGGAGTAGCTGGGATTACAGGCACAGGCCACCACGCCGGCTAATTTTTTTGTATTTTTAGTAGAGACAGGGTTTCACCATCTTGGCCAGGCTGGTCTTGAACTCCTGACCTCATGATCCACCCGCCTTGGCCTCCCAAAGTGCTGGGATTACAGGCGTGAGCCGCCTGGCCCGCTGTATCTTTTTACGCCCACCCGTCCCTGGGGGCTGCAGGCACAGGCCCTGGGGGCCTGGTCAGTGCTGTTTGGGCAGGGGGAATCCTGGACCTGGAAAGGGGAGGGGTCTGGAGCACAGAGGAGCCAGGTGAGGGAGGCCTCCAGGTGCAGGCAGGGTGGAGCCTGGGATGGAGTGATGCAAGAGCCCGCTCCACTCCGCCAGCACCCAACAGCTCTTCCCTTTCTCTCCCAGGCCTCCTGCCTTCCCTCTTCCCTGGTCTTCCCTTCAACACCAAGACTGCAGGCATCACCCCCACCCTAAGAGCCCAAGCAACCACCGACGCCCCATCCCCTTCCCCTCCCCCTATCCCCTCCCCTCTCCCCCTCGGTCCCTTTTTCCCATGGGCGCTGGAGCTTGCAGGGCAGCTGTACCCGTGGCTCCCTCTCCAAATGCTCCCCTAACGCACGCCCTTCTCACTTCCATCGGGCTCTGCTCAGAGAGACCTACCAATGTCCAGCACCCATGGCCGCAATACTGCGTGAGCTGAGACCCCCCTGCAGCCATCCCCATCTGCACCACAGGTACTCAGCAGACAATGGCTGCAGGTGGGCGAGGGCACCCTCACCATCCACCTCAAGTGCAGACCTGCCAGCCTCACGCTCAGCCCTTGGGCCTGGCTGGGGAAGTGTCTAGGGCACAGATCCTGGCACAGGGCAGGCCCCTCCTCCACATTTCACAGATGGCAGATGAATGAGGAGGAGGGGAAGGAGGGGGTGAGCAGCCCATTGCCAAAAGCCCGTGGGAAATAGGGATCCTGGGGGAGATCCTGGCTCACGGAGATCAGAGGGGCGGGGCCACCAAGGAAGGGTGTGGGGGGAAGGCAGCTGCTGCTCATGGAAGGCAGCCGGATGGAGGTAGCGGGGTCAGGCAGAACAGGCCTGAAGAGAGGGGCATAGGGTAGGGACATCAAAGGAAGAGGCAGCGGTTGCCCTGGCCAGGGCCCACAGCAGGTGCGGGCATGGCTCTGGGCTGGCTCACCTGGCCCCCCCGACACCCTCCCTGCAGAGCCCCCGCCCACAGCTGCTCCACAGGGGGTACCAGTGGGTGTCAACCCCTGGCAGCGGGGACACCAGGCCTCTCTGAGCTGATATGGGGGGTGCAGGGGCAGCCCTGGAGTCCCAGCGGGCTGTGCCCTCTGTCCTGGCCTCATCCCTGTGAAACTGCCTTTGCAAAAATTGTAACAGCCATTATTCCGGAGGTCACACAATTTGCAACTTCCCCAATTACTCCTGAGGATGAATCACTATTGTAGACGCTAAGATCGGCCTTTTGAGGTGTCTTTTCAGGTTTTTGCATTTCTGACAATGATGGCTCCACCTGGATTTGGACACACCAACCCCCCTGCCCGCCACAAACGGGTCCTGTGGCCCCACCCAGAAGCAGACTCCCTGGCCTGCCAAACTATCCTTGAAAAACCCGAGCCTGAGAATTTTGGGGGAGATGATTGATTTGAGTAATAACTCCGTCTCTTGGGGGAGATTGATTTGAGTAATAACTCCATCTCCCACGTGGCATGGCCAGCCTGGTGTCTATTAAACTCTTTATAGCAATGCCTTGGGCCCAGTGAAGAGGTTTTGTCTGTGCAGGGGCAGGAAGAGCCCATCAGGCGGTTACACCTGGAGGCCCAGCCCTGAGCCTCCCGCCTTCTCCAGCGTCTGCAGAAGCTGACCCAGAGCCTCTGCTTCGGGATTCCTGGGCTGTGGTCAGGGTGGGTCTGGGGACTCCCGTGCTGCGGGGCTCCTGGTCTGCTCCCCAGAGGCTGTGGGCAGAAGCTGAGACCTCTGAAGAAATCCTAGGGATTTTCAGGAAACCAGTGCATGTTTTCTCTTCTCTAACCATGCACAGGGGACACAGAAAGCCCCAAAGATCGGGGCCACTGCGATTCGTTTTCCAGAGAAGGACGCTCCGAGTTTGCACTCTGACCGCACTGATGGGGCCCTGTTCCTCCGGTGTCCATGGCTCCCAGCAAAGCAGACCAGCACCGCCCCCACGCACACCTAGGCCCAGCCCAGCCCCAACACCGGCTGCCGAGCTCACCATGATGAGGGCTAATGGCTCTGGGCATCGGCCTGCAAGCATTTACTGAGCACCTACTGTATGCTCAGTGCCCACAGGCCGAGAGGCAACGAAGACAAAGTCTCTGTCCTTAGTTCAGGGAAGCCACTCCCAGGCAGGGTTCTAGGAAAGAAAGAGCCCCGGGCTGCATCCGCACTTCTCTGGGCTCCAACAGGATGTGGTTGCATCATCTCCTGGAGGAACGGATTTGCCTTGAAACGCAGGAGGCAGAGCGGGCCTGGGAGAAGGAGGTTGTTTCCACGCCTTCCTGGGGGAGAGGCTGGTGCAGTCGTGAGAGTCAACCGGGAGCTCGGAGGAGGAGCAGACAGGACGTGGGAGAGCTCGGGAGAGACCCAGGCTGGGCGTCTTGCAGCTCAGACCCTTGGCCACCCAAGCAGCGTAGCCGGCATCACAGCCCACGGCGTGAGGCCACCAAGACAGACAGAGGAGGTGAGGGGGACCCGGACTGGGCCAGCCACACGTGGAGGTCGTGGAGGAAGCAGGCATCTATGCGGAATCTCGGCCGCCCAGTCTGCCTTGTCCACAGAGAGGTGCCTGTCCGCTGCTTCGAGCGTGTGCCGACGTCTCCCGAATGTGTCCCCTTTCTCTTCTTCCTTGGGATTTCCTAACGTCTGACGATCCCAGCTTGCGTTGGCCCCCTGTGCTGTGGCCCCACGACGTTTTGTCCAGCTTGATCAGAGCAGAAAGGGGACCTGGTGGGCAGCCCAAGGGGCAGGAAACTTCCGGGTGGATTCCAGCACAGCCCCAGCCCTGCCGGGGTCTTCATGCCAAACCCCTGGTCGGCCAGGCTTGAAGCTGGGCTGTGGAGCCACAGTCCTGGCCTACAGGCAGGTGCTTAAGTCACTCAGGCCACTATGACACAGTTCCACAGCCTGGGCAGCCTACATAACAGACATGTACCTCTCACAGTTCCAGAGGCTGGACGTCCACAGTGAGACACTGTCTCTAAAAAATAAATAAATAAAAAATAAACAAAAGGCCAGGAAAAACGTAAGGTAGTATCAAAAATGTAATGTGTCAATCTCTTTTCATGACAGGCTACAACTGAAAACACCAGTCATATTACCAAGGCTGTGACCGAAATCGTGTCTCTGAGAATGTGCCTCAAGCGTTCCAAGCCTGGCCGGCCGCGCTGGCTCACGCCTATCATCCCAGCACTTTGGGAGGCTGAGGTGGGAAGATCACCTGGTGTCAGGAGTTTGAGACCAGCCTGGCCAACATGGTGAAACCCCATCTCTACTAAAAATACTAAAATTAGCTGGGCGTGGTGACAGCCGCCTGTAATCCCAGCTACCTGGGAGGCTGAGACAGGAGAACCGCTTGAACCCGGGAGGCAGAGGTTGAAGTGAGCCAACATCGCGCCATTGCGCTCCAGCCTGGGCAACAAGATCAAAACTCCATCCCCCCTCCAAATAAAAAGAAAGTTCCCAGCCTTACAGCGAGAGTAAATAAAAACTGTCACCATCTGGCAGGCCCAGGAACCTCAGGGCTATCGGTCAAATCTAAAGCCTGCCTTGGTTTGGCTTCTTAGCCTCAAGAGGCCATTAAATCTGAGATTCCCATCTGATCAACATAGGGAGAAAAGCTTATGTTTCTAAAGAAAAGCTGTAGGCCTGGGTGCAGTGCCTCACGCCTGTAATCCCAACACTTTGGGAGGCTGAGGTAGGAGGATCACTTGAGCCCAGGAGTTCGAGACCAGCCTGGGCAAAATAGAGAGACCCTTATCTCTATACTTTTTGAAAAAGGAAAAGAAAAGCTATAATACATCTGTTAGGAGATTGTAGCTCTGGGCATTGTATTTGAGCTCTTATATCTACCTACAGACTAGACTAGATCCTAAATTCTTCTAGATTCCTTCAGTCAAAATTTCTTCCATGGAATTACTAAAAATAAAAACTGCTCTGTTCCTAAATCCCTATAAACTGAAACTAGATGAATTTTAAGGAACAAGTCTCATATCTGACCTATGGGCCCCACAGGAGTTCACCAAACCATCCAATGCCATAACCACAGACATTTCACCTGCAAACCAGGCAGAGAAGCTGGCGTTTTCACACTGTAGCCAGGGCTTCCAGTTCATCGGGACGAGATTCTGTATCAGAGACGCCCTCCCTCTTACCGTCTACCTGCTCGTGCCACAGGATCATGGTCATTTAGTTCAAGTGGTTCTTCTGCCTCAGCCTCCCGAGTAGCTGGGATTACAGGCACCCGCCACCACGCCTGGCTAATTTTTGTATTTTTAGTAGAGATGGGGTTTCACCATGTTGGCCAGGCTGGTCTCGAACTCCTGATCTCAGGTGATCTGCCTGCCTTGGCCTCCCAAAGTGCTGGGATTACAGGCGTGCGCCACCGCACCCGGCATAAAAATTATTTCTTAATAACTCTTGTATTACTATCACAAAAGACTGAGAAACCACAACGCTGTATGAAGTCCACTGCAACCATGGACAGAAAATACTGTGAGGACATCTGCCCAGCAACTGCGGTCCAACCCTGGACTGGCACCCCCCGCCGCTGATGCTTGTAGACAAGGGGAATCGCCTCAAAACAACGGTGTGATCCTCGTTTTCCCTTTAAAAGCCTTTTTCTCCCTTTACCTCCCTGAACACACACATAGTCTACCACCGCACGTGTGTTCCGACTGCAACGCCCTATTTTTGAATAAATGTCGTTTTCTTTCACAGAGCCTCTCTGTTATCTAAGTTGACAAATGTAATCATAGCACAACAGTGGTCTCTGTTGTAATCCATATTTATTCAATTTCAACGGCATACACACTGTGGAGTAAAAGCCATGACAAGGAGGCAGGGCGTGGGGCTCACGCCTGTAATCGCAGCACTTTGGGAGGCCAAGGTGGGTGGATCACTTGAGGACAGGAGTTCGAGACCAGCCTGGCCAACATGGTGAAACCCCGTCTCTACCAAAAATACAAAAATTAGCTGGGCATGGTGGCGCGCATCTGTAATCCCAGCTACATAGGAGGCTGAGGCAAGGGAATTGCTTGAAGCCAGGAAGCAGAGGGCGCGGCGAGCTGAGACTGTGCCATTGCACTCCAGCATGGGCGACAGAGTGAGACTCCATTTCCAAAAGAAAAATCATGGCCGGGCATGGTGGCTCACACCTGTAATCCCAGCACTTTGGGAGGCTGAGGCAGGCGGATCACGAGGTCAGGAGATCGAGACTATCCTGGCTAACAGGGTGAAACCCCATCTCTACTAAAAATATGAAAAAATTAGCTGGGTGTGGTGGCGGGCGCCTGTAGTCCCAGCTACTCGGGAGGCTGAGGCGGGAGAATGGTGTGAACCCGGGAGGCGGAGCTTGCAGTGAGCCGAGGTTGTGCCACTGCACTCCAGCCTGGGCGACAGAGCGAGACTCCGTCTCAAAAAAAAAAAAAAAGAAAAAAGAAAAAAGAAAAATCATGACATTGAGAGGATTGGGGGAGGAAATGTGGTTGTAAAAGGGTTAAAATGTAACCATGTGTCGCAGGAAGCCAACGCATAAAGTCTAAAATGATAAACCAAGAAGCTGAGCGTGGACCCATTTTCCGTTCTGCTGCAGTGCTCCCTCCCCTCCCCGAGTCCTCGGTGGGCTGGCAGACGGGGCTCTGCCGTGGCCGACTCTTGGGGTCCCTGCAGTAAATCCAAGCGCCTCCAAGGACATCCGAGTGACCAGGGACTGGTGAGTTTTCTTTGAGTTGTAGGGCCGTGGCGGGCTGCCTAGAGGCCCCCGACATGGGCTCATTCTCCCTCCTTCTTCTCCGCCAAGAGAAGAGCCGTGATCCCCAGGAGGAATCCTGTGTGGAGTGTCTGTCTGGAGTTGGATCAGACAGTGATCCAGGGATTTCTTCTTCTTTGAACAGTGATGGCCCAAGGCCAATCCTTTCCTACAGAATCAGCCTTCCCAGTGTTGCCACGGTGGACGGCCTGAATTTATCATACGTGGCTCTTGCTGGTGACATTGCCACGTGTGGGAACTACTGTACATCAGATGCCTGCCCCAGCAGCCTGGCCGGTCTCAGAGCGAGACACGCTGCTCACCAGCCCTCCCGGTACCTCAGGGGCCAGAAGTGGACAATCAGCCCTGCGCCTGGACCGGCCATCCCTGGGCGGCAGGTCAGGACCTCCTCCACCAGGCCCGCATGCCGCTGGGACCATACATGAAGGGAAGGTCCCAGGAGGTGACGCTGTCGGAGCCGATGGCCTTGAGACTGGTGCCGGGCTGCAGAGAGAAACGCGTCCTCGGCAGACCTCGTCAGCGCTGACACAGACGCTTCATCATGGGAGCCTTGGCCACAGCTGTGCCCTAGGTGGTGATTATGAGAAGACCAATTCTAGGAAATTTGAGGAAGGAACAGCAAGTTCTCTTGATTAAACTATGAATGAATTTTAAAAGTCTGTAATCGGACAGTTTTCTTCCTTGGACGTTTCTGTGACTCTGGGAGCTGACTATATGGCTTCAAACCAACCCTGAGCCTCTACCCCAGGACAGAACGCAGGGCTCCCGGGTGAGTGCACCGAGCTGAAGGACCTGAGAGCGGTCCATTGCCAGGTGGCTCCATTAGGGGCATCTCACCTGAGGCTGCCTCCAGGGTAAGGCTCGGCCTCAGGGATGGAGAGTGGTGCTCACACTGGGGGCCCTGGATTCTATGGGCAGCAAAGCCGTGTGTGCTACATGAACAGGCCCGGCCAAGAGGTCCCCACCCACTCTGCATGACCGGGATCAGCTCATCGGTGCTTCAGGGCAGGATGACCCCACCTGCTCCCTGACAGACAGGTCTGGCCGTGGGTGATAAACCTGTGTAGGCTTCCAAGGCCTCAGCAGTGCATGTGTCTTGCTCCTGGAGGGGCCAGAGGAACAGCTGCTCTGTGTCCCTACCAGTAGGATGAGGACCGTCTCGGACAAACGTCCCTCAAGGCCTGTGTCCTCCCACCAGGAAGCCACAGACAAGGCTGAAGCTGGGCCTCCCACAGCCAAAGAGGAGCTGTCCTGGGACTGAAAAGAGGAAGCAAGCCCAGATCTCCACACCTCCCGTCCCGACTCTGGCGTCACTGAGGTGCCTGCCCCCGTGTCACGGCTGTGGGTGTTGTGCTGATGCAATCTCAACAGCAGAGAAGCACGCACATCCTGCAGGCCCACGTGGGCCCCCGACCTGGCAGATGGGGCCCTGGGAGACCAGCCCAGAGTGCCACTAGTGCCCTCCAGCCAGGCTCCAGCCACCCATCTCTTAGAACAGGGCCCTGCTCTCAGCACCAGGGGCATCTTTGTCCTGGGGCCATCCTGTGTGGTTAGGGTATTGAGCCGCACCCTGGCCTCCACCCTCCAGGTGCCCGTGGCACCTCTGCCCCAAGTCATGACAACCAAACATGTCTCCAGACACTGCCAGTGTCCCCTGCGGGGTAAAATTGCCCCTGGTTGAAAACGACCACTTTAGAATTGACGTTTACTAACCCATCACCGTCGAATCTAAGGTTGAAAGGTGTGTGCATAAACACAGGGACCGAAATTCTCAACAAATGCCGTAAGTTGGCAAAATCACAGGTAGTTGAAATTCCTAATTATATCTTTATTACCAGTGGAGAGAAGCTCCCCTAGGAAGTGTCAGATCCCACGGGGATGCCTCACAGTTTCTCATTATTGATCACGATCTACGTAACCAGAGCTCTGTTTTGCATGGGATTTTAGCGCGGTCGGTAGAGTTTTAGACAAGACCGCTTTTGTTAATGGAAATGTTGGTTCTAAAATTTTATCCTGGAAGTTGGATCTTTCTTGCACCTATTTTTGGAAAATCTGCTCTTTTGATTTTTGTGGGTGTGTGAATGTGTATTCTATGAATCTTTTATAAGATGGTGTTGAATGTCCCAGATCATAAATAAGGTGTTTACGCCACTTCTGTGAGTGGATCAGGACCAGACAGCCAGGTTTTATTTCTATTTGGCCACCAAGAGCGCCCATTCCATGAAAGCCAACTCGTGGCTCCTTCTTGACAGAGGCATCTTACAAAAAAAAAAAAAAAATGAAGGACGGCTCAACAATCACTGTTAGACTCGATTAAAAAGAAATATCTAAGAGCAAATCTGCTTGAGGCTCGTGACATTCCTTGGCAGGGCGGGGGCTTCCCAGCTGGAGCCATCCCATTTCTCAGAGGGGGTCTCTGGCTCTCAGACAAACTCAGGATGTGCACAGGCATTGGTCAGGGCCGGGAAGGCCATCACTCAAGACGACGTCTGTCCCAAGAGTACATGCGAGATTTTAATATTTGTTTTACAGGCCATTGTGGTTTACTCTTGTTTCCTAGGAGGAAGCATCAGGAATGGTAACAATTGAACCAAATCATGAACCGTGAAGAACAACACTCTAAGGGAATCTTGTGTTCTGGAAAAAAAAAAAAAAAATGTGCAACTTTGGTTTTCCTGGCTCCATATGGTCAGCAACACTGCCCTTGGTGGGTGCCCATGACCCATGAAGCCCTTCCCAGCTCTCCCAGCTGTGAGCCAGACGCTGGCCCAGTGGGGAGCACTGATGGCTTTGGGAAGGAGGGCCCACCCTGTCCCTGACGTTCAGCGAGCACAGTCCTTGTGACCCGGTGCGTCCTCCTTGTGTTGGGGTCCCCCCACCAGCTCAGCTCAGACTCAGGCTGCAAAGCACCATGCATGGCTTTGGTCTCCTCTTCTGGGAACCCCTGAACCCCAGTGCGGTGGGCTTCTCCTCCCCACCCGGCGCAGATCCCAGCCCAGTCACCCAGACCCCAGCTCTCAGCCTCTTCCTGGAGCAGCTGCCCTGCCCCACGGGAAGCGGCCTGGAGCCCAGATGCACAGCCTGGACCAGTGTGTTGCCTCTGCAACTGCTAGCAGGAACATGATGTCGAAACACCCTCCATGACACGATCCAAATGGCCCTCTTACTCTCTTAAGTAGCAAAATAAATACCAGCATCAAGGTTCTGGATGGAGACCACTTCATTTGCTCACATATTTTTGCAAGCCGTTTATTAGGATACCGCTTAAATAATTACTTCTTGTTTTTATTTGGCTTTTCTTAAACATGGTCTTGTTAGGTGAGGTTTCATAACCACCACACAACTGTCTTTGTTCTCACGCTGCTGGAGCGTGTTTTATGGGCATTGTGATAATAGCTGTAGTTTCCAACGGTTGCAGTAGCTGACTAGTCAGTGGCTTCAGCAACACACATTTATTCTCCTACAGCCCTGGAGGTCAGAAGCTCCGATCCAGGTGTTGGCTGGGTTCCACTCCTCCTGGAGGCGCTAGGGGAGGATCTGTGTCCCTCTTACCATTTCTAGGATCCGCTGCACCCCTTGGCTCAGGCCTCTCTTCCATCTTCAAAGTCAGCAGCCTCTCCTCCCCTCTGACCTTGGCTTCCTCTGCCCGACTCTGACCCCTTGCCTTCCTCTTACAAGGACCCTGTGATGACCTGGCGCCCACCCAGCTAATCCAGGGAGGAGAAGAGAATACTGAGCGTCTTTTCGTTGTAAGCTTTTCAGATTTCTTTGGTTTTTGTTCTTTTAAACTGAGTGACGCATGGATGTATGGATGGACGGATGAATTGAGACAAGATCTTGCTCTGTCATCCCAGCTGGAGTGCGGTGATGTGATCACGGCTTCCTGCAGACTCGACCTGCTGGGCTCAAGTGATCTTCCCATCTCAGCCTCCCGGGTAGTTGAGACCACAGCCCCGTGCCATCACACCATGGCTAATTTTTTATTTTTACTTCTATAGAGATGGGGTCTTGCTATGTTGCCCAGGCTGGTCTGGAACTCCTGGGCTCAAGTCATCCTCTGGCCTTGGCCTCCCAAAGTGCTGGGATTACAGGCATGAGCCAGCACGCCCAGCTTGCCTGTATTTTTAAAACAGATAATGGTGGCTATCAAATCACTGGGGTTTTGAATACATTTAAAAGAGTGACTTCATGGTTATTTCTTACATATTGGTTTTATAATGTATCAGAAGTTATATCCTTTGCAACTACTTAAACTTACGATGAGAAATTTTAGTTGTTAGAGACTGAATGTGCACATGGACAGCGGCCAGCCCAGCTATAAAAATGGAACTCCACCCCACATCTGCAGCACCCAGCCCAGGAGGCCTCCCCCCTGCCCCCATAACCAGCCCGGGAGGTCGCCCTCATCCCTGGTAAGCAGCCCAGAGGCCGCCTGCTGTGTTGAGTCATAGGAAGGGAGACTGTCATCTCCAGAGAGCATCCAGGAAGCTAAACAACAGCTCCTGTTACCATCAGCTCCAAACAGCTGGGACTGGATTAATACATCAAATGACAAATGTAATTCACTCATTAATTAGCTTCCCTAATTTTTGCTCCCACTTTTTTTTTTTTTTTTGAGACAGAATCTTGCTCTGTTGCCCAGGCTGGGGTGCAGTGGCGTGATCTCGGCTCACTGCAACCTCTGCCTCACAGGTTCAAGCAATTCTCTAGCCTCAGCCTCCCGAGTAGCAGGGATTACAGGTGCCTGGCACCACGCATGGCTATTTTTTGTGTATTTTTATTAGAGATGGGGTTTCACCGTGTTGGCCAGCCTGTTTTCAAACTCCTGACCTCAAGTAATCCACCGGCCTTGGCCTCCCAAAGTGTTAGGATTACAGGCGTGAACCACCGCACCCGGCTTCGCTTTAAACTTAGGACCAACCAGAGAAAGCCACTGTGCAGCCCTCACCAATCCCATAGGAACCCTGCTGTCTGGTGATCCACCCCCACGCCTGGCCGCCTGCCTTCCCAGGGCACACCTGTGCCTCCGCTCTCCCACTCCGAAGCTTCCCCTCCCTGCCTGCCTTTGCATCTCTGCCAAACACAGAGGCCAGCACCAGGGACCTCTGCCCAGACCCACCCCGCTCCACCAGCCCGAGCTGTGGATCCCTGCCCTCATCCTATCACATGACACCCTTGGGTGGGGACCCCCGTGTGCTCATGCACGGTGGCGGGGGGGTGTCTATTTTCAGCTGTGTGTCCAGGGAAGAAGGGTCGCCTCCCATTACAAAGGCCTGAGGTCCCTCCCTGGCCCCTAGATGTCCAGAGAGAGCCCAGAGCCTAAAGCCCTGAGATGTGAACTGTGTCCTGTGTCCTGAAGCCACTCAGTCACAAGTGAGACCCAGAATGACTCACCATCAGAGCAGGCAGGGAAAGCCAGCCAGACAGCCCAGCAGGGAGCAGCCCCAGCCCCTGGGGTCTGGGGGACTGGCCGAGTGGTGGCCTCCTGGCCCAGAGGCAGCCCAAGGCCCTACAGAGGAGGACTTAGGATAGTGCTGGGAAGCCCCATCAGACTTTCTGGCTCATCACACCTCGTCCTGAGGGAAGAAGGACAAACAGCATGCAGCCTTTTGAAATAACACCATTGTCCCTCATCTCCATCCTGATGCCTCAAATCACAGAGCTTCTTATGTGCTCTACAATGGCACTCCCCAGCCTTTTGGGCACCAGGACAGTTCCATGGAGAACAATTTTTCCATGGATGCAGGTAGGGGGATGGTTTTGGGATGAAACTGTTCTATCTCAGATCATCAGGCATTAGATTCTCATAAGGAGCACACAATTGAGATCCCTCCCCTGCGCCCCTATGAGACTCTAATGTGGCCGCTGATCTGACAGGAGGTGGTGCTCAGGCTGGAATGCTCACTGCTCCCCATCCTCATCTCCTGCTGTGAGGCTCCGTTCTTAACAGGCCACAGACCAGTAGTGGTTTGAGGCCCGGGGGTTGGGAACCCCTGATGTGTAAGTACCAGGTGGGTGGGGGTCCTCCTGACTTGTAGGTGCCCAATGTGGGCCAGGCTCAGCTCGACCTGGGTGTACACAGCCCACGCCAGCCCCCACCCAGCCCCACCTTGTCTGGGTCCCTTGGGGCCAATGTGCACCAAGGACATGGAGGGCCCTGTGCCACTGATGGGACAGCAGTGGAATCAGACTAACAGTGGTCCTCTCAGCAGAAACTTTACAAGCCAGAAGAGATTGGGGGCCAATATTCAACATTCTTAAAGAAAATAATTTCCAACCCAGAATTTCATATCCAGCCAAATTGAGCTTCACAAGCAAAGGAGAAATAAGATCCCTCTTATTGGGGCCCTGCGTCCCAACATGGTGGAGGACTACCTAGGCTCGGGGGAGAGAAGACAGGAAGGGCAGCTGAGAGTGCCACACACACCACATCACACGTGCACTGCAGACCCCCTCACACATGTGAGCACAGGGCATAAGCACGGCCTGAGTCTATGGATGGAGGGAGGCTCCCAGGCCCAGAGCACACAGCAAGCCAGGTCCCAAGGCCAGTAGACAAGAGGCTCCTGGCCTGGATGACGAACACAGAGATGTGTGCCCATGTGACGCCATGGGATAGGGCCACTGTGGCCAGAGGACAGGAGCGAGGACGGTGTTGCCGGCTGGACGGACAGACAGGCAGAGGGAGGCCAGGCAGAAGGAGCTGGCTGGGTAGCCTCTAAACCACTAGGAATGGGTAGAGTCCATGAGCAGCAACGATGCAGGATTCCCACAATCCTTCCATTTTCCAAGTTAGTGTTGAGCCTGCTAGGAGCTGAGGATAAGGCAGCACATAAGGTAAGTTTCCAAGGGTCAAATTTCCATCTGTGTGTGGAATTTGTGTTGTTCATAGACTAATCAAGTGGTTTCAGATGTCTGGGTCTGTCTCTAAGTCTGTTTACTTGCAAATCCAAGCCAAGGTTAAACAAATGGTCTTCATTAAACCTTCATTTGATCTCATGTCCACAGTCTGCTCTGCCAGTAGTTTACAGCCAGAGGCAAAGCAAACCAAGAACACAGAGCCATCTACAGGGAAAAATCCTGGGTAACTACTTCTTCTCGGAAAAGCCCATCACCATCTCCACGCTCAAGAGAATAGTGCTGGACCCCTACCTCACACCATGTACCAAAACTAACTCAGAACAGACCAACAACCCTAATGTAACAGCAAAAAATATAGAACTCTCAGACAAAAACCCAGGGGAAAAGCCTGACAACATTGCTTTTGGCAGTGATTTCTAGGATATGACACCAAAAGCACAAGCAGCAACAGAAAAAAACATTAAATTTAAACCATCTGTGCACCAAGGACACTGAACAGTGAAAACACAACCATGAAATGGGAGAAGGTAGGTGCAAATTGTGTATCTGATATGGGATGAATATGCAGAATATGATTATTTTATTTTTACTTTTTTTTGAGATAGAGTCTCGCTCTGTCACCCAGGCTGGAGGGCAGTGGCACAATCTTGGCTCACTGCAACCTCTGCCTCCCGGGTTCAAGTGATTCTCGTGCCTCAACCTCCCAAGCAGCTGAGATTATAGGCGTGTGCCACCATTCCCGGCTAATTTTCAGTAGTAGAGACAGGGTTTTGCCATGTTGGCCAGGCTGGTCTCAAACTTCTGGCCTCAAGTGATCCACCTGCCTCAGCCTCCCAAAGTGCTGGGATTACAGGTGTGAACCACCGTGCCCAGCCATGATTATTATTATTTTTTAAATATAGAGACCAGATCTTGCTATGTTGCCCAGGCTGGTCTTGAACTCCTGAACTCAAGCAATTCTCCTGCTTTGGCCTCCCAAAATGCTGTGATTACAGGCATGAACCACCACGCCCGGCCCAGAATATGATTTTTTTTAATTGGCAGAGACAAGGTCTCATTTTGTCACCCAGGCTGGAGTGCAATGGCACAATCTCGGCTCACTGCAACCTCCGCCTCCCAGGTTCAAGTGGTTCTTCTGCCTCAGCCTCCCGAGTAGCTGGGATTACAGGCACCTGCCAACATGCCTGGCTAATTTTTGTATTTTTAGTAGAGATGGGGTTTTACCATGTTGGCCAGGCTGGTCTTGAACTCCTGACCTTAGATGATCCACCTGCCTTGGCCTTCCAAAGTGCTGGGATTACAGGCGTGAGCCACCGTGCCTGGCCAAAATGTTAAATTCTTTACAGATATGTCAAAGTCAGCAATAAACCATACTATATAGAAACAAACAAAAATTTACTAGAAATAATTCAGTGAGCCAACTCTTTGTATCAGTCATTATTTATTATTATTATTATTATTATTACTATTTTGAGACAGGGTCTCATTCCCATTGCCCAGACTGGAGTGCAGTGGTGTGATCACTACTCACTACAGCCTCAACTTCTTGGGCTCAAGTGATTCTCTCACCTCAGCTTCCCAACTAGCTGAGACTACAGGCACCCGGCTACTTTTTGTATTTTCAGTAGAGACGGGGTTTCACCACGTTGCCCAGGCTGGTCTCAAGTGACCCACTGCCTCAGCTTCCCAAAGTGCATAGTCATTTTTAAAGTACAGTTTAGGGATAATGTATTATTTCTATTAGAGTTATAACTTTAAGCTGGGAGATGTTCAGTAACTAAGTTTGTGAAGCTATTAGAATGTTTAAGTGCATTTGGTTTGCTATGAGCTTGATTTATTAAAAGGATAAGAGTAATTTAAGTGTTTGACAAGTCTGGCTGTCTGTTTTGCAAATGTTTCCTGTCAGGTATTTGAAATGCTTAAAAAGAAAAATGAAGACATTAAATTATAATCAAACGTTAAAAACATAAAGGGAATTTAACTTTAATAAAAAGCCTATCAACAATGATACATCTACAAAGAGGCAGACATTCCAAGTTGGGAAGATGGGGAGGTTACTTACCCGTGCTGCTCCCGAACCAATTAACTAGCAGAACTTGTTTTCAAACAATAAGATACAACCTGGTACAGAATGTTCCAACGCGGTGGGGGAGGGATCACGTTTGCCGATGAGGACTGCAATGTTGGGACTAAAACCGTGTGTGAAACCTGAACGGCCCCAAAATCATCTGTTCCCTTCTCATCTCTCCCAGAAGTGTCCGTGACAGTCGCTGTCATGGAAGTCACCTCCCCAGCACCACAAGGGAGAGCCATCCTTCCTGCAGGGCGGCCACGTGGCCACCTAGGCTGGTCCCGGGAGACCTTGGACCCAGGCTGGTGCCTGCCCCAGCTCCTGTCCCGAGACGTGGCTGAAGGTGAGCATCTCACCCAGGCTGGGCAGCAGTGTCCACCCTGGGACTTTTGGGACTGATGAAGACAGTCAAGTCCATCCCCATGAAAACAGAGAGGGCTGCTTTTCCAGCAGAATAGAAATCACCAAACTCAATCCTAGAAGAACTGGAATATTCGAATAGTCCGCCTTCCACAGGAGAAATTAGAAAGGTGATGGATATTTATCTTTAAGGAAAGTGCAGACCAGTTGAATTTTATTTAACCTTTAAAAAGATAATTCTAACTTTTCTAGGCCACAGAAAAAGATGGGAAACCTCCTATTTATGAAGGCATAGCTTTTGTCAAGGGAGCATATAGGGCCAGGTGCGGTGGCTCAAGCCTGTAATCCCAGCACTTTGGGAGGCCGAGGCGGGTGGATCAGCTGAGGTCAGGAGTTTGAGACCAGCCTGACCAACATGGAGAAACCCTGTCACTACTAAAAATACAAAATTAGCCAGGTGTGGTGGCATGTGCCTGTAATCCCAGCTACTCAGGAGGCTGAGGCAGGAGAATTACTTGAACCTGGGAGGCAGAGGTTGCGGTTAGCCAAGATTGCACCACTTCACTCCAGACTGGGCAAAAGGAGCGAAACTCCATTTCAAAACAAAAAAAGGTGGTGGGGGGGAGCATATAAAATGATAAAGCTATGTTGCTTGTACCTATAGATGCAAACAGTTTGGATAAAATATTAGCAAAAATATACTACCAATGTGTCAAAATCATCACACACCACCCCCAAGCAGGTGGTTTATTTTAGAAATGCAAAGATGGTTCAGGAACAGGACATCTATCAGCATGAAAAAGAAATTAGTGGACAAGGAGCAGTGGCTCGCACCTGTAATCCCAGCACTTTGGGAGGCCGAGGCGGGTGGATCACCTGAGGTCAGGAGTTTGAGACCAGCCTGGCCAACATAGTGAAACCCCGTCTCTACTAAAAATACAAAAATTAGCCAGGTGTGTTGACGGGTGCCTGTAATCCCAGGTACTTGGGAGGCTGAGGCAGGAGAATCACTTGAACCCGGGAGGCAGAGGTTGCAGTGAGCCGAGATCACGCCACTTCACTCCAGCCTGGGTGACAGAGTGAGACTCTGTCTCAAAAAAAAAAAAAAAAGAAAGAAATTAGTGAAAGAAGAAAGATGCAGATAACTCAGGCTTAGCAATCCTTACGCAGCTGCTCCTGGGTGGCCTGAGGGCAACTGGAAAGGGAGCTGGGCCCAGCCAGCTGCAGAATGACCAGGAGCTCAGCCCGACACAGCCTCACCAAGGTGGGCCTGGCATGCAGCAGGGGCTGCACGAAGGCCTGGGGAGGGGAGGGTCTGTCCGGCCTCCGAAGGGACCCTGAGAGTCCTGGGCAATAGAAAGTTCTGGGCATTGAGTTGTTAGAGGGACCAAAAGGTGGGGAAAGAGCGTGTCTGTGGTTGGGATGTGTGGGCTGCAGGCCACAGCCAGCAAACTCCTCCGTGCAGATGCTGACAGGGAGCGTGTCAGCAGGGTGATCTGTGATCCCAAACCAGGCCTGGAGCAGTGGCCCCCGGGTGGCCCGCCAGCCTCGGACTCTGGCCTCATCCCTCCTCCCTGCTCCTCTCAGGGGCTGGACACTGCCTCCTTCCCCTCTGGCCCCCTCTGATCCAGCCTCCAGGGGTGGGGACCTCAGCCAGCTGATGTCCAGGTGTCCTGGGAAAGTGGCCCTAGCCACAGATTCACACTCCTGAGGCAGGCTTCGGATGGGCCCACCTGGGACCCATGCTCACCTCTGTCAGAGGTCAGGGCCCGGTGTCCCGTGGACAGGAGGGCAGATGCAGAGAATACCCTCCCCACCCCTCATCCTTTCTCGGCCTCTCAGCATAGGCCGGCAGATGTCATGCCAGGCACGGTGGGTGAGGACCACATCAGCCAAGGCTATGCTCTGGTAGGGCCTAAACGCTGCGGGATGCTTTACGCCTGCTTGGTGTTCACGATCGTCGTGAAACAAAGCCAAGGAGCTCATGCCTGTGGGGACCCTCCCCTAGGGTCACGGGTCTACCCCGATCTTAGTCCTCGCGCCAGCCTGTGGAGGGAGTGCTCTGATTTCAGATGGGAAATCGAGGCAGGGAACGGCTGTGCAGCTCACCCAGGGCCAGGCTCGGGCCAGTGCTCCTGTCCGGGGAGAGGCACCATCCTGGGTCTGGCTTGTCATGCTGCATTCATCACGCGTGTCTGCAGCCGCATTTGTCGTGCATGTCTGTGTGGATATGGCTCCTCCAGGTCCAAGGAGCAGGAGCAGAGCAGGCCCCGGGGGGCAGGAAGCTCCGTCCCCACTGCCCCACGCACAGTGCAGAGGACCCGTAGGTGGCCACAGAGGTCTCCGCTAGTTGAGGCCGGCATGGCTTGTCCTCCTGCAAAGGTCCAGCCCCGAGGGTGGGCGCTCGGGGCCATAGGCAGCGAGGGCAGTTCTGGTGGATCCTGGGGCTTGGCATCTCGGGGCAGGCAGGGGCTTGCAGAAGAGAAGCCAAGGTCACTGCTGGGGAAGCAGCCGGCACCAGGGGCCACTGCCTGACGCACCATTGCAAGCAGGGTGTGGGGCTGTCCACCACCCCCAAAAGACCGCCAGCATGCCCCCTGCCTCCAGCACCACCCTCCCCATCCACAGCCTCTGTGCTGGTCCCGGCCGCTGGCCAGGCTGGCATTGGCCCCTGGAGCTGGTGGGAGAGGGTCCTGTGTCTCAGGCTGCCCTCCGCTGTCTTCAGGGCTCAGAGACTGGGATGAGTGGCCTTTGTACCAGGTGCTGGGGGCTGACAGCAATGAGGGCCAGGCTCCAGCATCACCAGGACTCGCCTCTTTGGGTAAAACACTTTCTCCAAAGGGCCCCGTGGCAGATGCAGCAGGTGGAGCAGAAGCCCCCACACCTGGGGTCTGGCAGGGAGGGGCCTCACTGGGGTTTCCCAGACACTGGTGCGGACGGGGCTGCTTCAGTGGGAGGTGAGTGACCAGGAGGAGGAGGGGCGCTGGGACCCGCAGCCCCTACCATGAAGGCTGAGCGACAAGGGGAGGCAGGGCCCCAGCAGGGCACCCGGAGGGCACGGGGGACACAGAGACCACAGAAAGCTGAGGGACAGTTCCTGGCCAGGGCGTCCTCTCCCCAGGTAGGAAGAGCCTTCCCTGACCTGGACAGTGGCAGCCCCTGGAGGGGGCAGCTGTGGGCAGGGGCTGGAAGCCTGGGCAGGGGCCAGGATGAAGTGGGGCCAAGGCCAAGGCCAGCACCGGAGGAGCCCGTTCCCAAAGGGCAGGGCCTGGCCCAGCCCCGTGGCTTCGCTGTGATGGAGTAAAAGACACAAAGTCCCCCATGGGGTTTCCCGGGGCTGCTTCCACCCCAGTACCCCCAGGCAGCTGCAAAACTAACTTGGCAAACACCATCTGCCGAAAGAGTAAGTAGGAGTTCAACCACAGCGGAGTGAAAAGGAGGAGAGGCTGGAAAAACCCACTCTCCCTGTTCAACAGGGAAAGTCCCAGCTGAATCACACTGATTATTCATGAGGAAGAAAAGGAAAACTGGCAGAGCTATAAAAATATTCTGTTTTATCAAATCAGGAAAACACAGTACTCAACCTGCGGATTAAAAACACTTTCTGAAGGAAGAAAGAATACATTTAGGCGCTAGTTTCACTGGAAAAATTCAGGAAATCATTAAGTGTAGGCACTGGGTGCTGAGATGTCAGATGAAATAGATGGGAATGGAACAGGAGCTGGTGAGATGTCAGATGAAATAGATGGGAATGGAACAGGAGCTGGTGAGATGTCAGATGAAATAGATGGGAATGGAACAGGAGCTGGTGAGACGTCAGATGAAATAGACGGGGATGGAACAGGAGCTGGTGAGATGGCAGATGAAATAGACAGGAATAGAACAGGAGCTGGTGAGACATCAGATGAAATAGATGGGGATGGAACAGGAGCTGGTGAGACATCAGATGAAATAGACGGGAATGGAACAGGAGCTGGTGACACATCAGATGAAATAGATGAAATAGACAGGAATAGAACAGGAGCTGGTGAGATGTCAGATGAAATAGGAATGGAACAGGAGCTGGTGAGAGGTCAGATGAAATAGACGAGGATGGAACAGGAGCTGGTGAGATGTCAGATGAAATAGACGGGAATAGACAGGGATGGAACAGGAGCTGGTGAGATGTCAGATGAAATAGATGGGAATGGAACAGGAGCTGGTGAGATGTCAGATGAAATAGATGGGAATGGAACAGGAGCTGGTGAGATGTCAGATGAAATAGATGAAATAGATGGGAATGGAACAGGAGCTGGTGAGACGTCAGATGAAATAGATGAAATAGCTGGGGATGGAACAGGAGCTGGTGAGATGTCAGATGAAATAGATGAAATAGATGAAATAGCTGGGGATGGAACAGGAGCTGGTGAGATGTCAGATGAAATAGATGGGAATGGAACAGGAGCTGGTGAGATGTCAGATGAAATAGATGAAATAGCTGGGGATGGAACAGGAGCTGGTGAGATGTCAGATGAAATAGATGAAATAGATGAAATAGCTGGGGATGGAACAGGAGCTGGTGAGACATCAGATGAAATAGACAAGGATGGAACAGGAGCTGGTGAGACGTCAGATGAAATAGTTGAAATAGATGGGGATGGAACAGGAGCTGGTGAGGAGTCAGATGAATAGACGGGAATGGAACAGGAGCTGGTGAGACGTTAGATGAAATAGATGAAATAGATGAAATAGCTGGGGATGGAACAGGAGCTGGTGAGATGTTAGATGAAATAGATGAAATAGCTGGGGATGGAACAGGAGCTGGTGAGACATCAGATGAAATAGACGGGGATGGAACAGGAGCTGGTGAGACATCAGATGAAATAGACGGGGATGGAACAGGAGCTGGTGAGACATCAGATGAAATAGACGGGAATGGAACAGGAGCTGGTGAGATGTCAGATGAAATAGACGGGGATGGAACAGGAGCTGGTGAGAAGTCAGATGACATAGACGGGGATGGAACAGGAGCTGGTGAGACATCAGATGAAATAGACGGGAATGGAGCAGGAGCTGGTGAGAAGTCAGATGAAATAGATGAAATAGACAGGGATGGAACAGGAGCTGGTGAGAAATCAGATGAAATAGACAAGGATGGAACAGGAGCTGGTGAGACATCAGATGAAATAGACGGGAATGGAACAGGAGCTGGTGAGACGTCAGATGAAATAGACAGGAATGGAACAGGAGGTGGTGAGGAGTCAGATGAAATAGATGAAATAGATGCGGATGGAACAGGAGCTGGTGAGAGGAAATATATGGGAATGGAACAGGAGCTGGTGGGACATCAGATGAAACAGACGGGAATGGAACAGGAGCTGGTGGATGGGCATGAATTAGCTGAGGGCAGGTGTGAGGAGGTGATCTCAGGAGAGACCCAGCGGCAGCTTTCAAGGCACTGGGAGCTGAAGGAACAGCACCCACAAGCACAGAGCCGGACCAGGAGGCCGAGACACAGGCGGCGGCAGCCCCACGCCCCACACCCCATGCCCCAGGGAGGAGGAAGGCAGAGATGAGGAGAGAGAAAGCAGACATGGAGGACGGAAGCCAGAAACCTGCTGGGCGAAGGAGCAATTTTCCAGATAAAGAAACTCGAACAACCGGAACGGTGCAGCCATAGAGTATGTAAGAGAAGGAACTTCTAGAATGAAGACAGATCTGAATCTATTTAATCAAACGGCTCACGGGGACAAGCAAAATTAATGAAAATGAATCTGGTGGAAATCTTCCACTTCAAGCATAAAACACCAGACAAGCACAGAGAGAAACTGAGTAGCCCAGCAGCATCCTGTGCCAGGAGACCACGGAGACCACAGGGCGACAGCTGGAGCTTCATGGCTGCAAACCCACCAATGCCAGGAGACCATGGGGCGACAGCTGGAGCTTCATGGCTGCAAACCCACCAACGCCAGGAGACCATGGGGTGATGTCTGGAGTCTCACAGCTGCAAACCCAGACTTCTGTGCTTGGCCGGGTCACTATAGGGAGACCCGCTGCACCAGTCCAGGCAACAGAAAAAACATTCTCAGCTACATAGAGGCCAGAAATTGCACCAAGAACATTTCCTTCCCGAAAAAGCAACTCAAAATTAATTATTTGAGGCAAACAAGAGGTGACTCCAAACAAAGACCCATAAACAGGGAAGGGCAGGCAGGCAGTGGTGGCCGGGGACATGGAGATGGCTTGAGCTAGAATTGAGTCCACGTGGATTTTGTGAATAAAATCTAAGAATTGCAAAATAACAATCACTAAAACTTAAAACCACCTTATCAGGGATGACGGCTCTTTGGGGGTCTTGTAGTGAGGCCAAGATAGACTTCAGGATCGAGGTTCTACCAGTGATTTAAAATTAGGATGTTGAAATTTGGCAGAATGACTTAAGTTTTAGAAAAAAAGGAAATTGGGTCATTCTCTTTCCAAAGGAAAACTGTCCCGTGATGGAATGCGTAGTCATTTGTGTCTGCAACAGTAAGCGTCTGTAACCCTTGGGAACTTCACATTCTCAGCCTCACTTCATCCCAGAGAAAGTCATGGGAAATGCCAGTCACTCTGGAATGTTCCCAAGTGTGCAGAAACTGAGAGGCCTCCCACCAGGCTCACCTGGCCTCCTTCCCCAGCTGCTTCTCTCCCCATCTCACTGCTCTACTGAGCACTAGGGGCTTCCAGACCTCCCTCCAGCCTCTGAGCTGCTGTGAGTCCCACTGAGGCAGGGCAGGGGCAGGGGCAGCCTCGTGGCTGTCCTGGGTGTCATGAAAGGCGGTTTGGTGAAGCTGTTGGTAACAAAATCCAAATGCCAGGATGGAAGAGCGATATGGTGTCGCCAGATGGCAAGGCAGACCCTAGGCCAGCTGGCCCCGGCCCACCCGTCACTGTGAGCACTGGCATAGTCACCCTGAACGTGAAAGGAGGCAATTCCCTGCCCGGCTCTGGAGTCGGGCTGCCCAGACAGCTGGGCTGGCTCTGCCGTTGGGCTGGGCCTCAGTTTCCTCACTGCAGAGAGGGTGACAACACACTGGCCCACATGTGAGGGAGTGGGACATGTGAGCCGGCAGAGGGGAGGTTCGCTCATGAATGCTTACTTACCAAGGCCTCCTCCATTCCAGGCACCTGCCCAAACATGGCCCTTGCACGCCTCCCGGGACCCCACATCTACACCCAGTGACGGTCCCATCCTTATGCTCCAGATGAGGAAACTGAGGCACAGTGCTGGAACCCAAAGCCTTCTAGTTTGGGCTCCACAAAAGGCCTTTTGATTGAATTATGCTTGAAAAGGCAGGTTTCTCCGGCAAGAACGAGTGGGAACCACACCCAGTCTGAGGCTTCGTGCCTCACCGCTGCCCCTGGTCCTGCAGCTGCCTGGTGCCACCACCCAGGGCCACGGCTCCTCCAGGGCCCACTCCTTCCTCTGTTCAGGAGATTGCTCTCTTCACGTTAGTGCATGAATCCCATCCTGGGTCATGGAGCCAGCATGGCTGGAGCTCAGAGCCCAAACGCAGCTGAAGACAAGATGGCTCAGGCGGGAGCCCCGCAGAGCTCATCCCCGTCCATCCAGGCTACAGTGGGGGTTGGGTGGGGACATTTCTAGGGGGTGGGTCCGAGAGAAGCATGAGGACCTAACCCCACGACCCCCAGAAACCAAACTGGCTCTCTTGGTACAGCGCTAGTCTGTGGAGTGGGCCCATTCCCATGGTGTAAACACCCCCACTGATGCTGGCTTCCAGCTGCTGACGTGCTGTCACTGAATGTGGAGCCGGGAAGCATTGTTCCCTTTTGGCTTTTGAGACATGCCAGGCCCAGTGGACCACTTCAGGCTGCAACACATGCAGGGCAGGGTGTGGGCCAGGGCATGGCCTGAGTCCTCAGTGCCAGGGCATCGGAACACCTGGGAGTCCCTTGAGGATAAAAAAGGAGACCCAAGCCAATGAAATGGACACACAGCCCCTGCAAACTGAAGGTCCGTCTTCATGAACTTGATGATCATCTGTGGTGTTGGGTGATTTTTGTTTGTTTGAGACAGTCTCACTCTGTCACTGGGGTTGGAGTGCAGTGGCACGATCTCGGCTCACTACAACCTCTACCTCCTGGTTCAAGTGATTCTCCTGCCTCAGCCTCCCAAGTAGCTCGGATTACAGGTGCATGCCACCATACCAACTAATTTTTTATAGTTTTCGGTAGAGATGGGGTTTCACCATGTTGGCCAGGCTGGTCTCAAACTCCTGACCTCAATTGATCCACCCGCCTCAGCCTCCCAAAATGCTGGGATTACAGGTGTGAGCCACTGCACCTAGCCTGGGTAATCTATTTCAATTTAACAAACCAGCCCAACACTGCATGGCTTTAAACAGTAATAGCCGTTTCTTTAACTCACGCATGTGCAGTTTGGGCAGGGCTCAGCAGGGCTGGCTCATCTCCTCTCCGTGGAGGCCTGGGGCTGGGAGCCCTGCAGGCTCAGCTCGGATTCATGGGGATGGACATTCAAGCTGCAGGATTCACCAGGAACCTTACCCTTATCAGTGAAGACTGAGTTCACCTCTGAAAAGAGGGAGCCACATGGCTGGAGTTTGACCACCAGACATTCCTGGGCAGAACTTTGGGTCTGGAGCAAGTGACCCAGAAGCAGGGACAGTCTGGGCTGTACCAGCAGCTGCCTCACAGCCAGGCTGCCCTCTTGGCCTCCCTGGACCTGCCTATGCCCAGCCCTCATTCTCCAGCCTTCTGTCTGGTTTCCAGAGCCCCAAGAGCCCTCTGAGAAAGTTATTTAGCATAGGTTTCCATTCATTGCAACCAAGATCCTGAGTGCTTGTATGATACAGCAGATATGGTTAAATTAAAAAAAAAAAAAAAGAAAGGAAAAAGCAGAGAGAGGTGTTTGTGCAACAGGACTATGCTGCAGAAAAGTTGCATGGAGAAGCTCTGGCAGAGTGGGCAGGCAGGGGCTGCTGGGAGGGGCCTCCGGCTCTATGGCTGAGCAGACCATAAGGAACCTGGTTTTCCCAGGGCTGGCCGGCAGGCCGTTCTCAGCTCCTCTGCCTCCACTCAGGGGAGGGTGGGCAGACGAGTGGGCAGGTGGGGAACCATGGCTCCACTGGCTCCTTGGGGCAGCCCCTGTTGGGCCCTGTCCTTACCCTCAGAGAACACGCTGCCTGCACCACCCCATGAAGGGGGGTCCACGAGGGTTAGGGCTACAATGCACTTGGTGACATCAGGACCATGGCAAGGTGTGGAGGGGGTGGACTCTGATCTGGATGCCACTGAGCTCATCCCATGGCCCCAGCCTCAGGGAGGGGCTGGAGAGCGTCCATTGGGGCATGGTGTGGACCTGGACGGTAGCCTGGGCACTGGAATCCTGGCCCTTCCCAGACCTGCTGAGCCAGCGCCAGCATCCTAACCCCAGGGACCCCAGGGACGCCTGTGCGCAGTCGCTCAGAGAAGCCCCAGGACGCCTGTTCGCAGTCACTCGGAGAAGCCCCAGGATGCCTGTGCGCAGTCACTTGGAGAAGTCCCAGGACGCTTGCGCGCAGTCACTCGGAGAAGCCCCAGGACCCCTGTGCACAGTCACTCGGAGAAGCCCCAAGCTGACTCAACTCTGTCGAAACGACTGTTGTAAGCAGATCTTGGAGGTCGCCCGTGGTCTCTGCCTCCAGTGTTACTCCCAAGACGGCTGTGTTGTGTGGCAGAGGGATTCTGAAGGCATGGTGAAGTTCACCAACCCGCTGACCTTAAAACAGGGAGGTGCCTCCGGGCCTGACCTCATCACACCAACACTTTAGAAGCGGAGTTTCCTCTGGCGGGTGCAGAAGGGATGGCCAGAAAGAGCCACTCATGGGGGGACTCCACCGGCCCCTGCTGCTTGAAGATGGAGGGGCCACCAGAGGCCACCAGGCAGGGACCCGAGAGAAAGCCCTAGGAGCTGAGGGCAGTCCCTGACAACAGCTGCGAGAAAACGGGGACCTCAGTCCCACACCCACAAGGACCTGGATTCTGAACCAGCCTGGGAGGAGGCCTGAGCCCCAGGTGAGGCCCCAGCAGGGGACCCAGGCCGGCTCCTGACCTGCAGGTGTGAGCTACAAGATGGTGCAGGCTTGTCCATTTATTTACTTATTTGTATGGTAGTAAAACACACATAACATAACATTGCCCACCTGAACTATTTTAAAGAGTCCAATTCAGCCACATTCCGTGCACTCACACTGTTGTGCAGACACTGCCTCAAGCAAGCTCCAGAACTCGTTCATCTTCCCAAACGGAGACCCATCAGCAGCCGGTCCCTTCCCTCTGCCCTCAGGCCCTGGAAGCCACGAATCCACTTCATCTCCTGGGTTTCTCTACTCTAGACACTTTACATCAGTGCAAGCTTTTTATATAAACGCAGTCACTTAGCACCATGTTTCTGAGGCTCACCCACGCCATAATGTGTAAGGGAGCTTCACCCTTTTTCTGGCTGCACAATACTCCGTCGTGCGTGCGCCGTGGCCTGTTGATCTGTTCCTCGGTCCACGGACACTTGGGTTGTTTCCACCTTCTAGCTACTGTGAATAACGCTGCTGTGAACACTCATGTCCGAGTTTTTGCTCAGACACCCGTCTTCATTTCTGGCTGTGCATCCCCAGGTGTGGAACTGCAGGGTGCTATGGCAATTGTTTAGCTTTGCGAGGAATCACCAGACCATTTCCCACAGCAGCTGCACCATTTCACACTCCCAACAGGAATGTGTGCCGAGCGGGTGCTGTTTCAAGCTGCTAAGTTTCTGGTAAGTAGAAAACAGAAAACGAACACAGGGACTGGCCAGAGGGCTGGGAACAGGAGGCAGGGTGGCAGCAAGGTGGCAGCAGGGGGGTGGCGAGGGGGGGCAGCAGGGTGGTGGCAGGGCTCTCCTCCCTGGCCTCTCAGCCCAGCTCCCAAACTCCAGGTATCCTCAACCCCTCCTCCCAGCCTCAGCCCCAGCTCCACATCTCAGCTCCCAGCCTCAGCTCCAGTGGCCTCAGCTCTTGCTCCCAGCCTCAGCTAGCAACCTCACCTCCTGCTCCCGGCCTCAGCTCCTGGACTCAGCTCCAGCTTGCAGATGGATTCAGAAAGGCCCCAGGGCCTTACAGCAATGCCCCAAGACCATGCAGCTGCAGGGGGTCTGATTGGCAGGCCCCAGGAGGACTGCAGATGGGGCGGAGGTCTAAGCCCCCCACTCAGCTAAGTGGGGCATACGCCAGGGCAGGAAGGACACCTGAACGCCCACGTCCGGGTGTTGAGAAGGGCAGAGGCCTGGACAACGTGAGTGAGAGGGCGCGCGGGCACCAGATGTCCGATGAGGCCAAGGGCCTGCTGTATCCCTGTGCTGGGGGAACAGCGCCTCCCAAAATCAGGTCCCCTGGAACCCAAGAAGGCGACTTTATTTGGAAATAAATCTTTGCAGCTGTGATTAGTGGAGAACGAGATGAGGTCATCCTGGAGAGGCCCTCGCCGTAGCAGGTGTCCTTCGAGAAGAGAAGGGGAGGCGGCCTGATGACAGAGGCGGGGCCGGCGCGATGCTCCCACAAGCCAAGGAACCCCAAGGAGTGCCCGTGACACCAGCAGCCGGACAAGGAGGGCTCAGGACCAAGAGTGACCGCGGCCCTCACAGGCCGATCTGCCTTCCAGCCTCCAGCTCTGCGAGACGAGGCATTCCTGTAGCTTTAAGCCCCTCGTCTGTAGGACACTCACCCCCAAGTAAAGGCCCAGCCACGATGGGAGGGGAGCGTGAGGCTGTAGCCCTGGGGAAAGCTGTCCTTGGTCTTCCAGAGGCGAGGAGCTGCGGAACCCCCTGCGGGACACTCAGCTCCGCCCAGAACACCTGGGCTTCTCCATTTCCTCTTGGCAAGTCCCTCGGTGTTTACTTTCTCCCAGTCCAGGGAAACTCCACGCCCAGGGCTTCAGGACTCGGGTCAGGAGAATATTCCCCCTGCGGCCAACCGCAGGCACGGGGAGGAAGTGAGCCTGACCTTTCTCAGGTCCAAAGGTCCCTGAGCTCATGCAGCCCCGCACAGGGAGGGAGGAAGGTGGCTCTGCCCTGCTCCTGACCTGAGACACCAGGGCCACAAATCACCTGTCCTGGGGCCTTCCAGGCCTCATGGTCCTGGGCTTCAGGGCTGCCCTTGGTTTGTACTTGGCCGGTCTTTCGTTGGGTTGGGAATACTGGTAGGGAGGTGCAGGGGTCCCAGGCAGAAACCGACAAGAAACCTGTGGTCGCCAGACCTTCTTGGCACCTGTCACCAGGTCACATCTGATTTGCTGAGCCCCATGGCAGAGTCCAGATGAAAATGCCGGCTGGGCATGGTGGCTCACGCCTGTAATCCCAGCACTTTGGGAGAACGAGGCAGGAGGCTCACTTAAGGCCAGGAGTTCGAAATCAGCCTGGCCATCATGGTGAAACCCCATCTCTACTAAAAATACAAAAATTAGCTGGGCGTGGTGGTGCGTACCCCTAGTCCCAGGTACTCAGGAGGCTGAGGCACGAGAATTGCTTGAACCTGGGAGGTGGAGGTTACAATAAGCCGAGATCACGCCACTGCACTCCAGCCTGGGCGATAGAGCAAGACTCTGTCAAAAAAAAAGAAAGAAAGAAAAGAAAAGAGAGAGAAAGAAAAAGGAAGGAAGGAAGTTAGGAAGGAAGGAAGGAAGGGAGGAAGGAAGGAAGGAAAGAAAGAAAAGAAAAAATGCCTACCTCCTGGGACAGAGTCTCTGTGAAATGCAGCCTCTTCCCTGAACTATGCACATGCCCGCGCGCGCGCGCACAGCAATGGCCGCCCTGCAGACAGCCAGGCCTCGGAAGTCTGGACGTCCGCGAGGCAGAGAGGCGGGGGCGGGCCACTGACCCACGCACAGCCGGCACCTGCATTTCCCCTTTCCCAGAACCAGATGGGGCAGGGGAAGTGGGGTGGGGGTTTCAGTTCCTCTTGACCTCATCAAGACACTGTTGTCTAGAACCTTCTTTCTGCCCATCACGGTAATTGGAGATACTGCTAACTAGCTCCCACCTCTGCCTGCCCGCTTCATGCCTGCCATCCTTGGCATCCCTACTTAAAAAAAAGCTCTCCATTTTTGCAGGAAACCCGAGTGAAGGCTGAGTGCCCCATGAGGGACCCGGGCTCTGACACAGACAGACTGTCCCGGCTGGAGTCCAGCTCCTGGACGACCTGGGTCTCCCCGTTCTGCACTGGTATCGCGCGGTGAGGCGGCGCTGATCAGAACCTCAAAAGACCTGACCCCGAACACCGTCATCCCAAATCCTGAGCTCCTGAAAGATCAAAACCTAACATGTTGGTGTTCTGACCAGTTTCTCTGTGAATGGTTCATCTGCACATAACTCATATCCACGTGACTGAATGAGCACACCTGTGTGTCTGTGCTGGAGAAAATGTTATGATCACCGACTTTATTGGGTAAAGTCGCCTATGAGGGGTGCTGTCGTGTTTTTCAGTTTCTCAAATCCCCCTTAAAATATAAATAAATAAATGTATTTTATTTATTTATTTATTTATTTTTCTTTTTTGAGACAGAGTCGCTCTGTTGCCCAGGCTGGAGTGCAGTGGCACAATCTCGGCTCAGGGCAACCTCCACCTCCCAGGTTCAAGCGATTCTCCTGCCTCAGCCTCCCGAGTAGCTGGGACTACAGGCGCCCGCCACCACACCCGGCTAATTTTTTGTATTTTTAGTGGAGACGGAGTTTCACTGTGTTAGCCAGGATGGTCTTGATCTCCTGACCTCGTGATCCACCCGCCTCGGCCTCTCAAAGTGCTGGGATTACAGGCATGAGCCACCGCGCCCGGCCAAACAAATGTCTTTTACAGAATGTTTTCGAATTAGTTTTTCCAGAATTATAATTTTGGGATTTTGATCTTTCAGGATGTCAGCATTCAGAACTGTGTCCCAGGATCGTGGCCCAGACCCACAGGGCAGGGGCGTGCACTTTTGAGGGTTCTGAAGACGACTCAACAGGGTGCCTGACCTGCTGGTAAGGACTCAGGAGACCTCACCTGTCCTCGTCACACTCATGGAAGGGGACTCCAGATCCCTGGCGTAGCTGGTCTGGGAACTGGGGAGGGATGGGCAGTGCCCGGTATAGGGTGCAACCTCCAGTGCCCACATTAGCACGTCTGTTGCTGTGAGATTCTATCCTGTGGACACCTGTGGCTGTAACACACACCTTCCCACTGCTGTCACAGGAGTGATACTCTTTCCGATTCTAACATCAGTGTGTGCACATTTTGGGAAAACCAGCAAGTACAGAAGAAGAATTTAGGCCGGGCCCAGTGGCTCACGCCTGGAATCCCAGCACTTCGGGAAGTCAAGGCAGGAGGATCGCTGGAGGCCAGGAGTTTGAGATCAGCCCGGGCAACATAGTGAGACCTCATCTCTATTTAAGAAAGAAAAAGACCACTGGTCCTCCCAGTGTTTACAAGATTTTTCCATTAAAACAGGAGGGATCATAATGAGCGGCCTAACAAAGACATTTAAAGACACGCCAAGAAGGGGCGCAGACAGGAGTCCTGAGATGCAGTCATGGGAACCCGCACCTGTTTTCCCGCCCTGGGCACCCAGCGTGGACAGGCTGGCCGGTGCCAGGGTGAGCAGGGCAGGCTGAGGTCTCCAGTGGGTGGGGACAGGTTAGGGGGCAGCAATTCAGTGACCCTGTCCAGGACTGGGTCCCTTGCAGAAGGTGAGGTCAGCCAGGGGTGGGGGTGGTGGCTGTGGAATCCGTTGTCTGGTCTATAGGGGGTCCCCCTACCGAAGCCCTAACCCTCTCCCCTTCACCACCCCAGTGATCTCCTGGCCCAGGCTGCTGCCTCCAGCAGCTCCCCAGCCCCCAGGACAGTCCTTCAGGACTCTAGGGGGAGTCCCGTCTACAAGGACGGCTCACCAGTCTCCCGCCACAGCCAGTGAGGATGGGGTCCTGCAGCCGAAGTGGTGTGTGCCCAGTGTGGTGTCCCTGGCAGGCTGGGAGGGTGCCCCCAGCTGCCAGTTAGTGAGGCTGGGTTAGCACGAGGGCAAGGAGCTTGGATTCTGGGGCTGACAGCCTGAGCTCAACTCCAGCGCCCCATCTTGCTGGGGCTCCTCCGCCTGGAGGCGGCTCCTCCACCTGCCTCTGCCTCCGTTTCTGCAGCAGTTGCCTGCCGGACTCCAGCCCGAGGCGGGGGCCACGGCTGACCCAGCTGGAGAACGCCCCACTGGCCCAGTCAGTGCTGTCCTCTGCACCTGATGGCTTCTCTTGGCAGGGAGGGCTCCCCCGCCCCCGGGCTCTGTGCCAGCCAGAGGTTCCGCAGGAGCTGCTCACTTCCTCCCGCCGGCAGAGGCAGCCTGCGGGGCGGCTCCAACCTGGAGAAACCAAAATCAGGGCAAGTCCCTGGCTGCTTCCCTGGAAAGCCCCGACGGAGTCCCCGCTCCTTCCCGCCGGTTCTCAGGGTGCTTTATTTCAGAAGGGGATTTCTTCCTCCTGAGAATCTGATGGCCACAGGGTGCCTGTCACATGTCCACATCGGGCCCTCCTGGCTGTCACCAACTTGTCCAACTGTCAGAGGTGTTTGAACCAGAGCGACTCCGTCTTGAATAGGGGCTGGGTGGAATGAGGCTGGGGCCTGCTGGACTGCGTTCCCGGGAGGGTAAGGCATTCTTAGTCACAAGACAGGAGGTTGGCACAAGATACAAGTCACGAAGACCTTGCCGATAAAGCAGGTTGCAGTAAAGAAGTGGCCAAATCCCACCAAAACCAAGATGGTGACTAGAGTGACCTCTGGTCGTGCTCGCCACTCATTATACACAAATTCTAATGCATTAGCTGCTAAGAGACACTCCCACCAGCGCCATGTCCACAAATGCCATGGCAACGTCCGAAAGTTACCCTGCACGGTCTAAAAAGGAGAGGAAGCCTCAGTTCTGGGAATTGACCACCCTTTCCCAGAAAATTCATGAATAATCCACTCCTTGTTTAACATATAATCAAGAAATGACCAAAATAAGCATAAGAATATTCAGCTGAGCAGCCCAGCCCTCCGCACTGCCTCTGGAGTAGCCATTCTTTATTCCTTTACTCTATTAATAAACTTCTCACTTGACTCTCTGGACTCACCCTGAACTCCTTCCTGTGTGAGGTCCAAGAACCCTCTCTTGGTGTCTGGATCAGGACTCCTTTCTGGTAACACAAGCACACAGAGACGTCTCCAGGGAGTGGGAGGGCCCACTGAGCAGGCCGCAGAGGCAGAGGCTGAGCGCCATCCCACACACTCATCACCAGGGGACGGGCCACCCACACCACACCGGCAGCCCCCTCATACCCCCATGCTCCAGCCCAGAAGGCTGCCCTGGGCCGGCTCTCTATGCTGCCTCGATTTCCCCCTTTCTAGGCCTTGCTTGGGATGAAGGTCACTGCACACCAGATGTCTGCACGTACCGGAGCAGAGCGGGGCCGCCTGGAGCCCCTTCCCACCAACCAGAGCTGCGGCCAGGCAGGGTGGAAATGCAGGCTGTGGGGAGACGAAGGTCAAGTCCCAGAACATGGACGTGTCCCGGGCTCCTGGCTGGTGGGGGCCTGGTCCCTGGCGGGGAGAGGCAGCAGTGCAGGAGCCAGGGCTGTCTGCAGGGAACCAGCCAGGTGGGCTTGGGGGTCACAGGGTCCCTCAGGCCTCTGCTTTGCTCTCTGCTCTCTCTCTTCCTCGGAAGAAGTCTGTGCTGTTGGTCACTTCGCTTTCATTCAACAAGCACAGAGGGAGCACCTGCTCGGGCCAGGCCCTGGGCTGGAACCACGTGGGCGAGTCCCTGCACCCTGGAGCTAAGGTTCTGGGGAGAGGAGACCGGGAGGCAGGCGGTGCCCGTGTGTGCGCGGGTGAGAAGCCTCAGGGAGCGTGCGGCCGAGGAGGAGCCGCCTCAGCAGATCTCGGGAAGAACTTTCCAGGCAGAACGGTCCGTGCAAAGACCCTGGGGCAGAGGTGCTCAGACACAGCCAGGGGGCTGAGGGCAGAGGTCTGGGGTCAAGCTGGGGCTGGAGGGTGGGAGGGGTCCCCGGGAGGGGGTGTCCTGGCTCCTGGTGGCTCTTCTAGGGCAGGGACCTGGGCTGCTCCACTTTCACACTCCTGGGGTTTCCCCGGGAGCCTTCTCTGTGGCAAGAAGCCTGTCCTGGAAAGTCCCGGACCACAAGTCAACAAGGAAAGGTCAGCTCTGGGCTATGGCCGGGCCAGGCCAGGCCTGTGCCCTGTGGTGCTCCCGAGGACGGGGCCAGCGACCCTGTGTCCTGCTCCAGCCCCTCTGTGGGTGCAGGAGGTTGGGGGCTGCCCTCCCAGGAAATACCACTGAGGCCTCGGCTCTCAGGCTGCCCACAGGGCCTCTCCCACTGAGGCAGCGGGGGCAGCAGGGCCACAGCCCCCGCTTACCCCCTACCCAAGCCCTCTGCCCTTAGGCGTGCAGCCACACCCAAGAGTGTCAGGCCTGGGGTCCTGGGTGTGGAGCTGAGGGGCCTGGGCAGGGCAGATGGGGGAAACTGGGGGTCCAGGTTACAGCAGGCTGGGAGGGTGAGAGGTGGCCTGAGCACCAGTGGCCCTCTGGGATGTGACATTTACTCTGAGGGTGAGAGGAGAGGCCGGGAACAGAGAGGGCAATGAGCAGGGAGGCAGAGGCGGCAGAGACGTGCAGAAGCAGGAGAACTGGGCAGAGCACCTAACCCGCTCCGCTCCGTCCCGTAGCCTCTCCCCTCCAGGCACAATCTGCCTTCCTCCTCCAGGCACAAGAGAGTTGGCCAACGCCTCCTGGGGCAAAGTCCCCAGGTGAAGAGCGGCTGCTCTAAGGTTTAACCTCCAGGTTATCACAAACCCAGGGAGGGGAAGGAGGGACAAGTTGTTATAAAAGACAAACCCCGGTGGCAGGACATCCTCCCAGCAGAGTCAGTGCCACTCTAACAAGCTGGGGCACGATTCCAGAAAGGCAAGGCGTGGCACCGAGTGAGGGCACCTGGGACATCCGAGCGCGAGTGGGAGGCTAGATGCTGTGTGGAGTTTTCCGAAGGCCTTGTTGTGATGGCGGCGACGCGGGGAGTGTCCTCATTCCCAGAAGTTTGCTGATTGATGTTTTTAGGGCCAGTGTTCAAATGTCTGCAACTTGTGTTCAAAAATGGCGCATGAAAAAATAATGCGAATGGAACACGGATCCTGAAAGAGGTTGGGTGCCTTTCAAGCGTTTCCTGAGGGGACGGGCTGGGCGTCCACACTCTTATTCTTTACACTTTTCTACGTACATCACAGTTTTCACAACACGCACACATCGGGATGGCTATTATCAAAACACAGAAAATCACAAGTGCGGGCAAGGATGTGGAGAACCAGACCCCTTGGGTGCTGCTGGCAGGAGTGTAAAACAGTGCTGCCACCGTGGGA
This sequence comes from Homo sapiens, assembly GCF_000001405.40. Classification (NCBI taxonomy): domain Eukaryota; kingdom Metazoa; phylum Chordata; class Mammalia; order Primates; family Hominidae; genus Homo; species Homo sapiens. The sequence continues at coordinate 5,092,131 of NC_000021.9, forward strand.
AGCAGGATGGCAGTCCCTAAAACAATTCAAATAGAACTGCCAGGCCAGGGGCGGTGGCTGGCACCTGTAATCCCAGCACTTTGGGGGCCGAGGCAGGAGGATCACTTGAAGCCAGGAGTTCGCAACCAGCCGGGGCAAAATGGCAAAATTCTGTCTCTACAAAAAAATGAAAACTTAACCAGCCATGGTGATGGCCACCGGTAGTCCCAGCTACGTGGGAGGCTGGGCTGGGAGGCTTGCTTGAGCCCAGGAGACCCAGGTTCCCGTGAGCTATGATCATGCAGCTGCACTTTAGCTGAATTCTTCAGCAGAAATAAAAACTTCGGTCACACTGGTGTATACTGTCTTATTCTGTGCCCCTTAAGAAAGGTTTGATTCCCTAATTCCTTTTTATACACTAGTTTTTTTTCAAAAGTGTTTGCAGGGTTAGATCGCGTCTCTCGTCTCCACACTGCAGGTAACTGGGTAGAAACTCTGCCCTCATGCATCAGACACGCTCCTGGTTCCCTGCAATCGGACCTGTCACTACAAACAGACCAAGCTTTCCAGATGCCAGTGGTGGTGGGAAAGCTGACAACACTCCCTACAGCAGGATGACGGAGGACACAGCCTGCTCTATAACGTCAAAGTGGCCTCTGGGTCCTCGTCCCAGGGCAGAAACAGACTCCTAAGTGTGAACGGAAAACAGAGGATTATTAAAATTGTCACCTAATGCAGAAGCCCTGCTACGCCCTTAGGTGGTCAAGGCTGATTTCTTACCCATCCACGACCGCAAAGGAAACCGTTCTTTGTTGGGGTCGAAGAGCATGAACCCTCTTTAGAATGGATAGTGTTGGCCAGGCACGGTGGCTCACGCCTATAATCCCAGCACTTTGGGAGGCCGAGGCGGGCCGATCACCTGAGGTCAGGAGTTCAAGACCAGCCTGGCCAATATGATGAAACCCCGTCTCCACTAAAAATACAAAAATTAGCCGGGCATGGTGGCATGTGACTGTAGTCCCAGCTACTCAGGAGGCTGAGACAGGAGAATTGCTTGAACCTGGGAGGAGGAGCTTGCAGTGAGCCGAGATCGAGCCACTGCACTCCAGCCTGTGTGTCAGAGTGAGACATCATCTCAAAAACAAAACAAAACAAAAAAACCAAGATGGATCGTGTCCATGTCTGCACCACCACACATCAAACAATCCAACAGGTGGAACTGTGCAGACTTCCCCACACTCAATGTCCTCTTTCCAATGTCGCTGTTCGCTATCTGTGGATGTCCCTAAATGGCCTCAGAAGTTTCCATTAGAAGAAATTAGAGATATTGTAGGTTTTAAGTCATTGAGCAATCACTTACTAATTACAAGTCACTTATTTATTAGACAAAAATGAACATTTTATGTGCACAAAGATAGTATCATAAGAGGTGTGGCGTTTTGCCATTGGAACCTGGGCATACGGTCATTTGTCCTGCAGTTTCTCGTGTACTGAAAGGTGGCGTGGATCCTACAGTTTCTCGTGTACTGAAAAGCGGTGTGGATCCTACAGCTTCTCTACTGAAAGGTGGCGTGGATCCTACAGCTTCTCGTGTACGGAAAGGCGGCGTGGATCCTACAGCTTCTCTACTGAAAGGTGGCGTGGATCCTACAGCTTCTCGTGTACGGAAAGGCGGCGTGGATCCTACAGCTTCTTGTGTACGGAAAGGCGGTGTGGATCCTACAGCTTCTCTACTGAAAGGTGGCGTGGATCCTACAGTTTCTCATGTACGGAAAGGCGGCGTGGATCCTCAGCTTCTCGTGTACCGAAAGGCGGCGTGGAGCAGCACAAGGAGCTTGAGCGTTGCAATGAGAAGTCATGGCTGTGAATCCCACCCCATCACGTTTTGAATGTTGGGCAAATTAATTAATCGTTTTATCCACTTACTAGGCGATGTATAGTTTGTATACTTCATGCCAGTCATTGTTTTAGACTCTTAGGATGCAAAGATAAATAAGAAAGTTGCTTTGGGCAAAGAGTGAGACCTTTTTCTTAAAAAAACAAAACAAAAGAATTACCATGTGATGAGCACTTCTCCTTCTGGGTGCATACCCAGTGCTCTGAGCTACAGCGTCTAACGTTCAAGCCAGCTTCTCAATCGGACCCCAGGATCCTTTCTAGAGAGAAATCCTGTCCACGTCGCCCTCCTAGCTGGCACGGCTGCAGGCACCAGTGTCGTGGCAGCGGGAAGGGGAGGACGGGCTTGGTGAAAGGGGACTGGGGCCTCCTCACTCCTGGGGCTGCCAGCTCCCTCACCCTGAAATCAGACCCACGCCCGCCCTGCACTTCCTGAGTGTTTCCTGAGACCAAGGGATCAGAGCTTCGGCTGTGAGGGGCGGTGCTGTGCCCTGGGACACACGGAGCCACAGCCTCCGCTTCCAGGGTGCCCTGGGGCCTCTCTCCACGTCTCCCTAGGGGCAACCGCCACAACTACTCTGTGTCGTGTGTCCTGCGCCGTCCATCCGACCCCTCGCAACTCATCCCAAGCCTGGGGGGCTCTGGGGGACAGGGCAGGTGGGGCCATGTGACCAGGAGAACCTGCTGGTGTCTCCGGCCTCCACTGGGTGCCCCAGGACTGTGGTCAGCAGGGTGGAGCCCCTGATGCAGCTTCACTGCCTGCTGCAGCCAGAGGGGGACGGGGTCCCACCCACAGCCCCTCCTCCGGAGCCCCCAGCTCTCCCCTCCGAATCTCTCCACCCACCGCACCCCTGAGCGTGAGGGGCACTGGGGTCTCCTCCCGGAAGTGGGGGTCCCGCCTGGCCCCTGAAGCCCTGGGGAAGGGTTTCTGTGGAGCTGCTCATGGTCCCTGCCTGTCCTGCCCCCGGGCCCAGGGCCTGGCTCCACCGCCCCGGCATGTCATTCCCGGGGGTGGGGGCGGCACCACGGAGAAGTCAGACTCCGGCTGGGCTGGCAACAAGGGTGGGGTCAGAGGAGCCCCGTGGCGCTGTGGAGGGTGACCGGGTGCCAGGGTCCCGGGAGCTGCAGGGTTTGGGGCTGAGGCGCAGGATGAGGCCGACACAGGGGTCCTGGGGCGCGGGCGGTCCGAGCCGTCCCCTCACCGCCCAGCCTCGTAGGGGCCCGCTGTGGGCCAACTGCAGCAGGAGCTGGGGACACAGCCGTCTCACACCTGCCTCCTGGTGCGTTTCTGGGGCTCAGGGATAGGCGTCCTCACTCAGGACACACAGGACTGGTCTGGCCGTGGGGTCAGGCCAGGAGGCATCCCCTTTGCACCTCCTCACACCCCTGTGGGGAGGGGAGGGCCCTGGGAACCCATAGACGCCTGCCCCACAGCAGCTGAGGTCCCGCAGCAGCCAGCAGGGCTGGGCCACTTGAGGCCTCCGGCTCTGATCGCCCAGAGGGCGCACGGGGTTTGGTGCAGCCTCTGATGGGCACGAGGCGGCCGCACGGGATGAGCACAGTGGGCGTCCCTTCCCCATGGCCAGGACTCCAGGCTGGAATGTGGAGGTTCCCGAAACCCACACTGGAAGGCACCCCATGGATATGCTGGGGACTGGGGCCGAGAAGAGGGCACTGCAGGCACGCGGTGGGGTGGCCTCCCAACGCCCAACTCTCCTGCACACCCCAGCCCCTCCCGCAGGCCTGGGCATGGAAGTGAGCCCGGGGCGGGTTCAGGCAGCAGTCAGGGCCTTTGTTTCAGTGCCGTAAGCTGGCCAAGTTCAACATCCAGGGGGATAAACAAAGGTCCTGCACACGGCCTGCACTGGGCGGGAGCAGCTCCAGAGAACCTGCCTGGGCCAGGGCTGCCCACAGCGCGGGGGCAGCATCTGTGGGCACACCCGGACCCTGGGTGACCAGTGTGGGGGCCTCTCTGCATGCTCAGGCAGGTGCAGACAAGGCCGCGGCCTGGGCAGCCATCTGCCTGTCACTGCCTGGGCAGCCATCTGCCTGTCACTGCCTGGCCAGTCATCTGCCTGTCACTGCGTCTCAACAACTGGTGCCACAATTCTGTGCTGACAACAATCTCCACGCTGCAGCCACCGCCCGCCCCACAGGCCCCTCACCCTCAGGCCACCCGCCCGCCCCACAGGCCCCTCACCCTCAAGCCACCCGCCTGCCACACAGGCCCCTCACCCTCAGGCCACCCGCCTGCTACACAGGCCCCTCACCCTCAGGCCACCCGCCTGCCACACAGGCCCCTCACCCTCAGGCCACCCGCCTGCTACACAGGCCCCTCACCCTCAGGCCACCCGCCTGCCACACAGGCCCCTCACCCTCATGCCACCCGCCTGCCACACAGGCCCCTCCACCTGAGACGCCAGCAAAGGAGGCCGAGAGGAGAAAGCCCCAGGCCGGCTTCCCGGCTGCCACTCCCCGCACCCCGTGCCAGTTGAACTCCTGAGGCTTCAGGGTCCAGCCTCTCTGCAACCTCGGCTCCACCCCGCCCTCCCCATGCCTTCAGATTCCTCCGCTGGCTCTGAATGGGGTGCTGGGAGGGCCCCTCCTTCTGCAGCTCAACAGCCACGTGAAGCCCTCGCTGCTCCAGGAAACGGGGCCCCGAAGGCTGGCCCACGGAGATGGAGGCAGGCACCCGCCATCCTCAGCACCAGGACCACGGGTTCCATCCTGGCTGCACACCGCGCTCCCTGGAGAGCTGTAATGTGTCCCGATGCCCAGGCCACCGCCTAGCCAGTCCACCCTGGACAGTGGGGAGCGGGGTCCCCGCATCAGCACTTCTGAAGGTTCCTGGGTGACCTCAAGGTGCAGCGGGAGAGATACTCACCACTCATGGGTGGTCCCCGGCCCAGTGCTCCCCGGAGCTGGGGAGGGGCTCCATCTCAGCCACCCAGACCGAGGGACCCATGTCTGCACCCACAGGACCCCAGGGGCTCCCTGTGCTTGCCAGGTGCAGCCACAGTGCGCAGCGAGGACTCAGCGAGGGACAGGTAGCAGCAAGGCCAGCTTTAACTCGAAGGGGCCCAGCCCAAGCTGCCAGGTGTCTGGGTCCCCGATCAGGGTCTGTATCAGCTCCCATTGCTGGCACTGCCAATCATCACACAGCAGAGGGCTTAAAAGGACAGTTTATTCCCTCATGGTTCTGGGGCCAGGAGCCTGAGGTCAAGCGTGGGGAGGCAGTGGCTCTGGGGATCCGCCCTGCACCTCCCTCCTGTCACAGTCCTGCCCTTCTCAGCCCATGGACGTGCCCTCCACCTCTGCTGGTCTCCCTCCAGGACACGCCACTGGACTCAGGGCCCACGCAGGCAACCTGGGGTGACCTTATCTTGAATCTTGAGATCCTTAACTCGATCACATCTGCAAAGGCCTTCCCGAGGTTCCAGGTGGACGCGTCCCTTCCCGAGGTTCCAGGCGGACGCGTCCCTTCCCGAGGTTCCAGGCGGACGCATCCCTTCCCGAGGTTCCAGGCGGACGCGTCCCTTCCCGAGGTTCCAGGCGGACGCGTCCCTTCCCGAGGTTCCAGGCGGACGCGTCCCTTCCCGAGGTTCCAGGCGGACGTGTCCCTTCCCGAGGTTCCAGGCGGACGCGTCGCTTCCCGAGGTTCCAGGCGGACGCGTCCCTTCCCGAGGTTCCAGGCGGACGTGTCCCTTCCCGAGGTTCTAGGTGGACATGTCTTTTGAGAGGGCCTCAGGTTAACCCACTACTGTGTCTGAATCTGTCCCTTCCCCAAGCAGCAGCTCTGTGTCCCGGCATGGCCACTGTGGGGCAGAGACACAGCAGATCCCACATCTCTGTGCCCTGCAGACCCGTCAGCCCTGGGGATGCTGGTCTGGGACGGACCCCTAGATATCACACAGCCGAGAGGTAGGTCAGCGCTTTAAGATGCTGATACCGCTGGTTCAGCTCCTGGAGCAGAATTCTCAGGGTGGATTTCCAGCAACGCCTCCTGGGAGGGTCAGCAGGGGCTGGGGTCCGTGGGGTGGTCTCCGGGAGGTTTGCCTGTGTCAGGCCTGTGCTGCTTCTGGCGGAGGCGCTTGTCCAGCCTCATCCAGCCTGGTGTCTCCGGTGCCACGCGCTAACACCTTCAGTGCACGCTCGGGAACGCGCCTGGAAGGCCCTGCCCTGCCCCGCCCCAGGCTCCAGCCAGATGCTGCCAGCACCCGGGCCCTAGGCTATGCCAGTCCCACAGGACTTGGGTGAAAGTGGGTCCCAGAGGCAGGGCAGAGGGGAGCTCCTGTCTGGGGGCGCATGCTGGGCACCTGATCTATACCCAGAAGCCCATAGGGAGCAGGGTCCACAGGGCTGGCGATGCCGCTCCCAGGAAGCCTTTGTGGGCTCAGACACAGGACCCAACAGCCCTGCAACAGTGCCTGGAGCCAGACGTTCACCCCAGATCCTTCTGTGGGGTGAGACTGCAGGTCAGGCCGAGGCGTGTCAGCCAGGGTGGTGTGACTGCACCTCCAGAGCCAGCAGCAACGGCCAGGCTCAGATTAACGTTCAGAAACTCTGGCACCTCCAGAGCCAGCAGCAACGGCCAGGCTCAGATAGAACATTTAGAAAGAACTCTGGCGGGCAACCGTGGGTGGCAGAGTCACAGCTAATTCACAATTTACAGCCAAGACTGTCCCTGATCCAGTCTAGAGAGAACCTGTTAAGGAAAAATTATCCTGGTGCTTATCGTAATGGCAAGGAAGACTTCATTATGGACTCCCGCAGTGAGGGAGAGACGGGCTCTATGTTGGGTGCAGCAGGACAAGGGGGGTTCACAGCCGAGAAGTGAGGGGGTCCGTGGCTGGAAAATCACCAGGAGGGTGCGGCAGGGCCGGGGCATCCTGCTGAAGGCGTCGAGGACTGAGGTCTGATCTGCTCCTGGAGCTCAGACATCGGGGTGGGATTCTCTCTGACCTGACTCTGGGTTCCTGCTCCGTTGGACTCGGCAGGGTTGCACATGGAAGCCCAAGGTTGAGTCCCCCTCAAGAAGAGGCTCCAAGAGTCTCTGCCGCGCCTGTGTCATTTGGCCGCAAGCACATCTGTGTGGGCCAGAGTGTTGGGGAGATCCACCCCTGCTCAAAGAGTGGGCAGGGGCTGAAGCCAGGAGGTGGGCCCTGCGTAGGGGTAGCACCCACGAAAACAGAGCGAGGAGGCACACGTAGGCTGAAGCATCCAGGAGCCAGGGCCTCAGGAGTGGGCAACACGGAGAGCCAGGGAGGACGGTGGCCACCTGGATCCCGGAGAGCCACCACGAAGTATCCCAAAGCTCTGGGCATTGAGGAAGCCTGATCAAGGAAACCCGAGAGAACTGACATCGTCAGACGCAGGCTGGCCGGGCTGGCAGTGGCTGAAGGTCTGGGATGGGGCCCCTGCCACGTGGCCACCACAGGCTGAGCAGAGCCCAGCGGGGAAGGACCCACCAGCTCCCCTGGAGACCCTTTCCACCCCTGGCTCTGGGGGCCAACCCTACAACCAAAGTCCTGCCCTCCCCAGGGGGCCAGGACCACCTCCCTTTCCCTGGGCCCTGGGAGTGGAGAGGAAACGGCTTCCTTTTTCTCCCCCAGCCCAAGATCTAGAAAAGCGGGGCTTAGCCGGGCACGGTGGCTCACACCTGTAATCCCAGCGCTTTGGGAGGCCGAGGCCGGTGGATCTCCTGAGGTCAGGAGTTCAAGACCAGCCTGGCCAACATGGTGAAACCCCGTCTCTACTAAAAATACAAAAATGAGCTGGGTGTGGTAGCAGGCACCTGTAATCCCAGCTACTTGGGAGGCTGAGGCAGGAGAATCCCTTGAACCCAGGAGGCGGAGGTTGCAGTGAGCCAAGATTGCACCATTGCACTCCAGTCTGGGCAACAAGAGCAAAACTCTGTCTCGAAAAAAAAAAGAAAAGAAGAAAAGAAAAGCAGGGCTCATACCATATGCCATGGGCACCTGACACACAGGCCCCTGCCTGCCCAGACCCTCCACATGTATCCAGGCCCCGAGTGAGTGTCCAGCCCCCCCACCGTGTGTCCAGCCCCCCGCCACGTGTCCAGCCCCCCGCCACGTGTCCAGCCCCCCTGCCACGTGTCCAGCCCCCCGCCACGTGTCCAGCCTCCCTGCCGCGTGTCCAGCCCCCTGCCGCGTGTCCAGCCCCCTGCCGCGTGTCCAGCCCCCCTGCTGCGTGTCCAGCCCCCTGCTGTGTCCAGCCCCCCTGCGTGTCCAGCCCCCGCCACGTGTCCAGCCCCCGTGTCCAGCCCCCCACCGCATGTCCAGCACCCCAACCGCGTGTCCGGCCCCCCCGCCGCGTGTCCGGCCCCCCCGCGTGTCCAGCCCCCCTGCCGTGTGTCCAGCCCCCCAATGCGTGTCCAGCCCCCCCAACTGCATGTCCAGCCCCGCACCGCATGTCCAGTCTGAAGAATCCCACAGAAGAGCAGCCCGCATGTGGGAACGCACATGCTTTTCTATAACACAACATGGCTACAAAATGTTCACAGCCCTTGAATCTCTGTCATTTCTCAGAAAATACCCTAGGGAAAAGGCCTCAGAGGCCCAAATGTTCTTCTCAACATTATTTTAATCAGGAAATACTGCAAACTATCCCAAAGCCAACTAAAATGGTAGGGCAGAGGGAAGTTTTCTGTAAATGCCACTGGAGAAAGTATCACACGGCCCTCGCGGTCCCAGGGGCTGGGCCAGGGCAGGCTGTGGCCTCCCAGGGAGTTTTACAGATGCTGGATCACAGGGGTGGGCCCATGAGAAGCGGGCGGCGGGCTCCTCCGCCCTCAGACTTGCAAGCACGGACCACGGCCGCCTATGCTGGCAAGACCGCGATCATGCTTTTTCATTTCTCAGGGTTCAGTAATCTGCCTGCATCTCTTCTCCAGCAGCAGCTGCACATTACGCCATGGGGCATCAACTCCGAGGAGCGCTTGGCACGCGCCTTCCTCCTCCCAGCCTGGAATCATCGCCCGGGCCCTTCCCTCTCAGGGCGGGGACCTCTCTAGGGAAAGGAAGGGCTTTCCAGGGCAGCCCCTCCAGCCTGCATCTCCTGGGAGGGCCCCAGAGAGGGCACTGGGCAGCTTCACTTCAAATCGGGGGCATTGGGGCTGAGCCCGAAGCAGGAGGGCAGCAAGGGTCCTGACATTGTGGACTTGGCCAGGGAGGGGCCAGTCCCTCTCAGCCACCCACAGCTACCTGTCCCGAGAGTGTGAGGATTCGGGTCTTTGGTGGGCTCTGGGGAAGGGGCTGCAAGGAAGCGGGCCCAGAACCTGGTGCTGAGGCCCAGGACCCATGCAGGGACGTGGGGCAGGACAGAGAGGGGCAGGGCAGGGGCAGGGACAGGGGCAGGGATGCGGGATAGGACAGGGGTACGGACAGGGATGGGGCAGGGACGCAGGGCAGGACAGGGGCAGGGACGGGGCGGGACACGGGACAGGACAGGCGCAGGGGCAGGGCAGGGATGCAGGGCAGGACAGGGATGAGGGCAGGGACGTGGGGCAGGGACAGGGACGTGGGGCAGGGACAGGGACATGGGGCAAGACAGGGACGGGGCAGGGACGTGGGGCAGGGCAGGGAGAGGGGCAGGGACGTGGGGCAGGACAGAGAGGGGCAGGGCAGGGGCAGGGACAGGGGCAGGGACACGGACAGGGCAGGGATGCGGGGCAAGACAGGGAGGGGGCAGGGATACGAGGCAGGACAAGGAGGGGGCAGGGACTCAGGGCAGGACAGGGCAGGGGCAGAGGCAGGACAGGGACGGTGCAGCCTCCGCTGCTGCCCTCTCGGGGAGCCTGGCTCCCACCCTCACCCAGCCACTGCTCCTGGGCACAGAGCTGAAGGGGAACTGGAGGCTGCGGCGTTCCTCTCTCCGTCCCCCTCTCTCTGGTGACTCATGTGATAACGAACCGACCTTTTGGAGACATTCTGTGCCCTCAACAAAAGCGGCCCCTGTCTGGAAACCCCCCCGAGGAGACTGACTTCCTCCCCTGCTGCCTGGGCTGCGGTAGCTCTTCCGGCACCTGCTCTTCAGGCACCTGCCCTGTGCTGGCCCCTCCTGCAACAATCGGGTAAGGGGACCCAGGACCACAGGGAGGCTCCAGGGAGCCCCGTGGGTGCCTCCAGCAGCCGTCGGGGGTCTCTGTCCCTCACACCTCATCTGTGAGGGTCCCTTGGCAAGGCAGCCCCTCCCGCTTGCCCAGGGTGGCAGGCCGGCTGCCCGCATGCAGAGGCTGCTGGGAGGGTCCCCTCATGCTCTCCCCTCCCCGTCCCCTGCCTACCCAGCCAGGGCTCTCGCTCCCAGCAGCCAACGGTACAGCCCGCCTCGGTCTCTGGGGTGCTAGATACACTCTGCCTGGAGCCCAGGTACTGGAACCTCTGTGCCTGGGCCATGGGGGGCAGATTAAGGGAGGCCCTGCCCCTGGAGCGCAGGTACTGGAACCTCTGTGCCAGGGCCATAGGGGGTGGGTTAAGGGAGGCCCTGCCCTGCCCCTCACCTGTCCCCTCATCTGCACATCCCTCCTTCGTGTCACCTGCACAGGAGCCCTCACCTCAGTCGGCGCTGCAGAACCAGCCCAGGAGAGCAGCTGGCCTGTCATCTGCTGAGGAGCGGAGGCGTGCGGGGATCCGGAGGGGAAGGGGGTCTGGAGTGCTCCGGGGGAGACCCTCAGGGACTGCCCTGCTGCTGGCAGCGCCTGGGCCCACGGCTGATGGAGGCGTCTCCTGGCCCCCAGGGCTGTGCCCAGGACTGCAATGGCCTCCCACACTACCTCACTACCCTGGTCCAGGCTCACTGACAGATGAGGAAACTGAGGCAGGGGCCCTGGTCTCACGGCCATTGGTGCAGAGCTGGGATCCACGACCAGGTGGGCTCTTTGTTATTACTTCCTCCAAGGACAAGCCCAGGTTCTCCAGGGTGTGGGGTCCACGTGTGGCCACAGCGGGCCTTAGAGACAGACAGGCCTGGGTAGGGGGAGGGGTGGGTGGGCAAGGCCTTAGAGACAGGCCTGGCGGGGGAGGGGCCGGGCCTGTGCACTGGCAGTGGTGGCACCACGGGCCCTTGGGGACACCAAGTGAGCTCTTTAAAGTGGCTAAAGTGGTAAACCTTGTGTTTTGTATAGATTCTACCAATTAAAAAAAGGAAATGTGGGCCGGGCGTGGTGGCTCATGCCTGTGATCCCAGCACTTTGGGAGGCCGAGGCAGGTGGATCACCCAAGGTCAGGAGTTCAAGAGCAGCCTGGCCAACAGGGTGAAATCCCATCTCTCCTAAAAAAACAAAACAAAACAAAACAAAACAAAAACAGAATTAGCCGGGCATGGTGGTGGGCACCTGTAGTCCCAGCTACTGGGGAGGCTGAGGCAGAAGAATCACATAAACCCAGGAGGCGGAGGTTCCAACGAACTAGGATCGCACCACTGCACTCCAGCCTGGACAACAAAGTGAGACTCTGTCTCAAAAAAAAAAAAAAAAAGAAAAAAAAAAGGAAAAGAGAAAGAAAAAGAAAAAAAAGTGACAATTCACATAGACCCCTGAAAACCTCTGGGCTTAGGGACAGCAAGAGCCTTCCTGGGGCCTCCTGGACCATGTCGGGGCCTCCGAGGCCTCTGGGACGCCATCCCTGCTCAGCTTCCTCGCTCTCCTTTTGCCCGAGAACAAGCTCTGTTCTGGCCACGGCGTTGTCTACACAACACAGCTAACTGCTTTGCCATCAGCCCTCATACAGATTTAAAACACACACACACACACACACACACACACACACACACACACACACACAAAAGATAAGGTTATGGGCTGCACTGCGTCCCCCAAATTCACAGAGTGAAGTCCCGACTTCAGGATCCGCCTGTATTCAGACACAGGGTCTTTACAGAGGCGACAAAGGTGAAACAAGGTTACCAGGGTGGGCTCTGACCTGACCTACCGGCGTCCTTAAAAGAGGAGGACACAGACACGCAGGAGGGGCGGCCACGCAAGGACACAGGGAGGTGGTGCCGCCTGCCTGCAAGGAGAGGCTTCGTAACAGCCACGCCGCACCTCAACCCGGGACGCCCCCAGGACTGGAGAGAACCCACATCTGCTGTGGGAGCACCTGGCCACGGTGTGTGCGAGGCGGCCCCGGCAAACTCACGTAGACAGGACCCAGCTCCCCCAGGCCATCTTTCAATGGGAGAGGGTGACCCAGTGTTTTCCCAAAACCCAGCACGGTCCCCAGGACGCGTTCCCCACCAGGGTGGGCTGGGCCGGATCACAGCCCAGGCTCCCAGAGACTTCCGGTGCCACATCAGCTCACAGAGCTTCCTGTTTCAGCCCAGATCAGAAACACCATGAGACGCCCAAGGAGGAATATTTTAATACTTCTGCTATTTGGCCTCACCCAAAACCAGAAAGTGCAGGGAGTCGTGAAAATGAAGAAAATGATCAGAACCTGAGGGACCAGGCCGTGCCATCCGAAGACAATCCTGAGATCTCTCTCCGGGCCCTGCCCTGCCCCTCCCTCTCTGCCCCCAGCAGGAGCCCCCTTTTCCCCTGGGGCCAAGAACCCAGGCCACACAGGGTGCAGAAGACCCGCCAGGGAGGCCACAGCAGGGGACAGAAAAGAAGGCCCGTCGCTGGCATGAGGGGTGGCTTCCATGTGGGGAAACTGAGTCAGTAGCAATTCCAGATTGGAGGTCCTAACCAGGTCAGGTATGCGGGTGCCGCACCGTCAGCCAAGACCACAGCCCCACCTCCTCAACAGCTGGGCCCACGCCATCGGGGGGGCGTTCCAAGAGACTTAAAAAAACCATAACCCAACCCCGAGGAGGTGCCCTCTGAGGTGGGGTGTCCCATACTAGAGTCAGGGTGACCTGAGGACAGGCCAGGCACACAGGGCCACCCTGAGTAAAGACGGGGGACCCAGGAGGGCCTGGGACTAGCCAGGATGGTGGCTGCTGTGTTGAGAGGGCATCTGGGACCCCAACCCGCAGCCCCTCGTCTCCTTATGAGCCATGGGGCCTCAGGAAATGCACCCCATTTCGTGCCTCAGTTTCCCTCCTGGGCTGAACTGTGTCCCCCACAGCCATGTGTTGAGGTCCTGACCCCAGACCTGTGAGTGTGACCTTATTTGGAGGCAGGGTCTGCACAGAGGTAACGAGGTTAAAGCAAGGTCAGCTGGGTGGGCCCTGACCCACCCAGACACACAGAGAGAGAACAGGCCACATGACACGGGGCCGAGGCCGTGGCAGTGCTTCCGCCAGCCAAGAAGCACGGAAGACCTCAGGCCACAAAGCCAGGAGCGGCCTGGGACAGACCCCACTCACGGCCTCGGGGGCCAGCCCTGCTCACACCTTGACCTTGGACTTCTGGCACCATAACTGTGGGAGGGTGAATCTCTGGTGGTTTGGGGGCGTGGGGTGAATCTCTGCTGGTTTGGGGGCGTGGGGTGAATCTCTGCTGGTTTGGGGGCGTGGGGTGAATCTCTGCTGGTTTGGGGGCGTGGGGTGAATCTCTGCTGGTTTGGGGGCGTGGGGTGAATCTCTGCTGGTTTGGGGGCGTGGGGTGAATCTCTGCTGGTTTGGGGGCGTGGGGTGAATCTCTGCTGGTTTGGGGGCGTGGGGTGAATCTCTGCTGGTTTGGGGGTGTGGGGTGAATCTCTGCTGGTGTGGGGGTGTGGGGTGAATCTCTGCTGGTTTGGGGTGTGGTGATTTTTTGCCACAGCAGCGCTGGGTTTCCGATACGGCTACAATGCACATCTGCAGCAACTGCTAAATGAGGTAAAATACGTACAGAGCCAGCACGTGGTAGGCACGCCCTCAGAAGAAGTAGTGGGAGCAACAGGGCCCTGGAAGGTTCCAGAAGGCCTAAAAGATGGGAGAAGAATGTGAGCCGAGCTCTGGGATGGACCAAAGAATTCCAGAAGGGGTTGGAGCACCAAGTCTGACCTGGGGGGCTCCTCTGAGCAACCCCAAACCTCCCAGACACCCACGAGCCGCCTTGGCTCTGGGCCAGCACTGACCCCGACTGCTGACGAATCGAGGGCCCGCCAGCCCCGTGCACTCGCTCGGAGCCGCGCAGGTTTACAGCATGGTCCTGTGTGTGACTGCACTTGGTCCTCGGAAAATTCGGAAGGTGTGTCCCAGCCGCAGCCTGAGGACCGGCAATGTGGGCGTCCCACAAGCCACACGCCACATGGCAGGAGCAAACTGCCAATCCTCCCCTCTGCCCACCAGGCAGAGGCGGGAGCCGGGACAGCCAGAGCGCCTGATAGCCCTGGACTGCCACCACCACAGGAGCGGGAGCACCCGGCCAGCTGCAGGCTTAGAGACGATGCCCTCCCGGCTCCTGCCGGCCACAGGCTCCGCATTCGCCATAGAAAGGCTCTGCTGCATTCAGCACCCAGCCCGTGTCTCTAAATGACTGGCTGCTGTTTGTTTTTCTTGTGGCTGCAGTGGTTTTCTAAGAAGGTAACTCACACTGCAAGGCAGTAAAAATAGTTACCATTCATGCCACACCTGCAGGCTGGGGCCTACCGGACCTGGTCCCAGAGGCTTACACATGTGCACAGATACACATATCACACATGACTATGTGCAGACGTGTGCACACACACCTGCCTGCCCACAGGTGCGCTGCACACCCGCACACACACATGCACGGATACACACATCACACGTGCCTATGTGCACACCTGCACACGCACGGATACACACGTCACACGTGCCTATGTGCACACCCGCGCACGCATGCAGTTCAAGTCCTTGCAAGCCCCATGAGCAGGTGTCCTCAGCCCCTTTCTCTGGAGCCGCCGCGGGCACATGATTTGTCTGAGGTCCCATGGCAGGAGAGTCAGCTGCTGAGCTGGAATCAGGAACTAGGCCTGGCTGGCCAACACTGCTTGTCTGGGCAGTGAAACTCATTCCTCATGAGGCCCTCCAGGCGACTCGGTGGCCTGGCCGTGGGAAGAACGCCTTGCCCCGCCTTCCCCTCGCCCCCACCGCAGCACCAGCCAGGGTGCTGCGCTCCTCTCGCTGGGGACCTGCCAAGTCATCACCAGAGATGGAATCTGCCCCGTCAGACGTCCATACCACGCCCCCAGGGCCCTGAGATCAGGTCCCCAGGAGGAGCGGGGAAGGGACTGGCTGGAGCCCCGGCAGTCCTGAGCTCCACGAGAGCAGGGTCTGCCCGCTCAGGGAGGTCTGTCCTTTTGAGGCCAGGCACCCAGTCCTGGTCGTCCGGGTCCACCCAGGATGACCCTGCCCTGTTCCTGCTTCTCCCAAGCACCCGTGACCCTGGGAAGCCTGTCACAAACACCTCCCTGGACAATCCACGCTACAGAGTGCCCTGCTCCATTCCCACCACAGCCTCAGGCAGCACTGGCACCCACAGCAGAGGCCACCCTCACAATCTCACACTTCAGGAGCCCAGATGGGATGCTAGCCAGGTTCCCTAGAGGTGGCTTTGCCGGCCCAGGCAGCCCCATCTCTCCGGGACCCCACTGCTCCCCGGGTCCAGCCCGGACCCTGCAGTCGGCAGTGGCTCCATAAAGAAGTAAAATGAGAATATGCACGGGGCCCACACTTAGGGGACTCGTGTCACATGGTGTCCAGCATGGCTCGTGGGTGAGGACAGCAAAACCACCAAGAAATGACCCGAGAGGCCAACAGCAGCTCCCCGGGAAGGCCTGGCAAGAAATCCCCACAACCACCTCACATCCATTATCAACAAAAACAGTGACAAGTGTCGGCGAGGATGTGGGGAAACCGGAAGCCTTGTGTAGCGCTGCTGGGTTGGAAGATGGCGCAGCTGCAGGGAGAGCAGGAAGGCAGTTAGTTCCTCAAGTCAGAACGAGCACATGACGCGGCAATTCCACTTCCAGGCGTGGGCCCAGCAGAACCGAAAGTGAGTCTCAGAGAGACACCTGGCGCCCATGTTCACGCCAGCATTATTCATACCAGCTAAAACACGGAAGCAGCCCGAGCGTCCATCGCCAGAGGAATGAACACACAAAATGTGGCCCACGCACACGATGGAATATTTTTCAGCCATAAGAAG
Organism: Homo sapiens; assembly: GCF_000001405.40. Classification (NCBI taxonomy): domain Eukaryota; kingdom Metazoa; phylum Chordata; class Mammalia; order Primates; family Hominidae; genus Homo; species Homo sapiens. The sequence continues at coordinate 5,108,062 of NC_000021.9, forward strand.
GAAACTCTGACACACGCTGCAACACAGATGGGCCCCGAGAACATGACGCTAAGTGAAATTGAGAGATTTTGTTAGTGGCTTGAAACCATCATTGTATTTGCTCACAATCCCGTGAGTCAGCCGTTTGGTTTGGGCCGGTCTCCTGGCCTGGTCTACCCAGGCTGCCCCCACCCCTGAAGCCACTTGGTGGTTAGTGCCGGCCAATGACCCCATGGTGCACACCTGGTCGACTTCCCAGGTTCCAGTTCCTCCCCTCTAGGACAGCCGCTGGGCCTCAGGGTCGGGGTGACTGAGGCTGACGGAGATGGCAGTCTCTTCCACGGCTGTGCCCAGGGAGGCTGCCAGGCACCCATCTACGCAGCAGCACAGTCTAAAGCCAGCCAGCCCCTCCCTCGGCCCCCACCCATGCCTTTCTCACCACGGCTGGAGGCCCCAGGAAAGCAACACAGACACGGGGGTAGGGAGCACTTCCAGACCCAGCAGGAGCCTGGAAGGCTTCCGCAGCCACACCTCTTCCACAGCCACACCCCTTCCCCAGCCACATCCCATTCCTGCAGGGAAACGCTTGCAGCAGCTGGGGTGAGTCCTGGAACTGTCTCCCCTGCTGGGTGCCTGTCCAGGCACCAAGTCCTGCTTGTGTTTTAGAGCAGGCTAAAAGCGGTATCATGCCCAATCTACACCTAGGCATTTGGTATTGAAACTGCAGAAAGTTAAAGAAACAATCTTGAAAGAAGCCAGCAGCGGGTGGGGAGGAACACCTAAACTACAGACAAAGAATACATTCATTTCTTATAGAATTAGTTTTGACTTTACAGAAACTGTGCAAGTAAAAATACAGTGGACTGAAATATTTAAAGTGTTGAGAAAAAATCCACAAGCCTAGAATTCTGTATCCAGCGAAATTATCCTTCAAAAGTCAAGGAAAAATAGACTTAGACAAAAATTGAGAATTTGTTACTAGTAGACCTGCTTTGCAAAAGGTGTTAAAAGTTCTTTAGAGAGGAAAAAAAATGTACAAGTCAGAAACTTGGATTTACATAAAGAAAGGCACGAGTGATCGAGAAGGAATAAGAAAGGTAATAAAAGCTTTTATTTTTCTTACTCTTTTTTTTTTTGAGACAGGGTCTTGTTCTGTCACCCAGGTTGGAGTGCAATGGTGTAATCACTGCAATCTTGATCACCTGGGCTCAGGCGATCTTCCCACCTCAGCCTCCCAAGTAGCTGGGACCACAGGTGCACACTACCATGCCCAGCTCGTTTTTTAATTTTTGGAGAGATGGGCTCTCACTATGTTGCTCAAGCTGGTCTTGAACTCCTGGCCTCAAACGATCCTCCCACCTCAGTCTCCCAAAGTGTTGGGATTATAGGTATGAGCCACAATGCCTGGCCATTAATCTTAATGGAACAGACAGAAGTTTGTTAAAGTTATAACAATGTACTTGATTATATATGCTTATGTATAAGTGAAACTAATAATAGCAGTGATACAGGGGACAGGAGTGAAGAATTGGGAACATACTGTTATTAAAAGATACTTTTGGTGGGGCACAGAGGTTCACGCCTATAATCCCAGCATTTTGGGAGGCCAAGGCAGGTGGATTGCTTGAGCCAGGAGTTTGAGGCCAGCCTGGGCAACGTGGCAAAACCCCGTCTCTATAAAAAATACAAAAATTAGCTAGGTGCTGTGGCATGCGCCTGTGGTCCCAGCAACTCAGGAGGCTGAGGTGGGAGGACCGACTGAGCCAAGAGTTCCAGGATGCAGTGAGCCGTGATCACACCACTGCACTCCAGCCTGGGCGACTGAGCAAGACCCTGTCTCAAAAAACAACAAAACAAAAAATACTTGGGCTACCGATTAGCAAGCAGTTCAGTGTTATTTGAAAGTGGGCTTGAAATAGTTGGAAATGTGTATCACAAAATCTAGGGTAACCACTGAAAATGTGAAAAAGTATAATTGATGTCTAAGAAAGAATAGAAAATAAAATCATAAAATGGTCAATTAAAACCACAAAAGGCAGAAAAAATAAAAAACAAAAACAAAAAATAGAAAATAGGAACAAACATGGTAGATATTAATCCAACTATATCAACAGTGACTTTGAATGTCAGTGGTATAAATGCACCAATTAAAAGACAGAGATTGTCAAAACGGATCAAAAAATAAGACCTAACTATATGTTATCTACACAAAACCCACTTTAAAAATAAAAACAATGGCTGGGCGCAGTGGCTCACGCCTGTAACCCCAGCACTTTGGATGGCAGAGGCGGGCGGATCACTTGAGGTCAGGAGTTCGTGACCAGCCTGGCCAACACGGCAAAACCCCATCTCTACTAAAAATACAAAAATTAGCCAGGCGTGGTGGCTTGTGCCTGTAGACCAGCTACTCAGGTGGCTGAGGCAGGAGAATCACTTGAACCCGGGAGGCGGAGGTTGCAGTGAGCCATGATCTCATCACTGTAGAGATGGGTGGCAGAGCAAGACTCTGTCTCTAAATAAATAAATAAATAAATAAATAGACACATGTAGATTAAAAGTAAATGAACAGAGGAAGAAATACCATACTCACATTAATCACAAGAAAGCTGGAATAGCTATATTAATTTCAGAGCACACTTCAGAGCAAAGAAGCTTATCAGGAATAAAAGGAGTTATGCATAATAAGGGGTGTGGAATATCTTTCCATTTTACCTCTTTGACTTATTAAAGTTTTATAATTTTCCTCACAGATCTTGTAAATATCTTGTTAGATTTCTACCTAAGTTGTGTGTTTCAGAGTTGCTATGTCTTCCTGGAGAGTGTGGCATTCCCAGGGAGCTGCTGTTGGCCTCTCGGGTCATTTCTTGGTGGTTTTGCTGTCCTCACCCACGAGCCATGCTGGACACCATGTGACAGGAGTCCACTAAGTGTGGGCCCCGTGAATATTCTCGTTTTACTTCTTTATGGAGCTGCTGCTGAATCAGGGCCTGGGCTGGACCCAGGGAGCAGTGGGGTCCCGGAGAGATGGGGCTGCCTGGGCCGGCAAAGCCACCTCTAGGGACCCTGGCTAGCGTCCCACCTGGGCTCCTGAAGTGTGAGATTGTGAGGGCGGCCTCTGCTGTGGGTGACAGTGCTGCCTGAGGCTGTGGTGGCAATTGGCGTGGTGCACTCTGTAGCATGGGTTGTCCAGGGAGGTGTTTGTGACAGGCTTCCCAGGGTCACGGGTGCTTGGAAGAAGCAGGAACAGGGCAGGGTCATACCAGGTGGACCAGGACAACCAGGGCTGGGTGTCCGACCTCGCGAGGACAGACCTCCCACAGCAGGCAGACCCTGCTCTCCTGGCGCTCAGGGCTATGGGTACTCCAGCCAGGCCCTCCTGGGGACCTGATCTCAGGGCCCTGGGGGCATGGTTTGGACATCTGATAGGGGCAGATTACAACTCTGAAGACTTGGCAGGCTCCGGACTTACTATAAAGCTACAGTACTCACGACAGGGTGTTGGCAAAACAGACCAGTGAAAGCGGAGAGAGAGCCCAGAAACAAATCCGCATGGAGAGTCAACTGGTCTGTGACAAAGCGGCAAAAGCAATGCAATGGGGCACAGCCTCCACCAAATGGAGCCAAACAACGGGGCGTTCACATTCCCAAAATGAATCCCAACACACACATTCCACCCCTACAGCAATTCACTCAGAATGATCACAGACCTAAATGTGAAATGCAAAACTATCAAACTCCTAGAAGATAACACAGGAGAAAATCTAGATGACCGAGGGTTTGGTGATGAGTTTTAAAAACACAAGACTGAGCCCAGTGGCTCCCACCTGGCATCCCAGCACTTTGGAAGGTTGAGGCAGGAGGATCAGTTGAGCCCAGGAGTTTGGGACCAGCCTGGGCAACACAGTGAGACCCTGTTTCTTTCTTTCTTTCTTTTTTTAATAAGGCGGGGGCGGACCACTATCCAAGAAGAAACCAGTGAGAAACTCGATTTCATTAAGATTAAAAACTGCTCTGTGAAGGCACTGTCAAGAGAATAAGAAGAACAAGCCCCAAACCTGGAGAAAATAACTAGAAATGAGATATCCATGAAAGGATTACGAGCCAAAATTTACAAACAACTCTTACAACTCAACAAAAAGAAAAGGGACAACCAATTTAAAAATAGGCAAAAATTCTGAGCAGATACCTCACCAAAGAAGATACGCAGATGGTAAATAAGCCATGAAAAGGGGCTCAGCATCATATGTCAGTAGGAAATAGCAAATTAAAACAATATACCACTACACACCTATCAGCTGGCCAAAATCCAAAACACGAACACCACCAAATGCTGGTGAGGACGTGAAGCCACAGGAACGCCCATTCATTGCTGGTGGGAACACAAAATGGTGCAGCCACTTGGGAAGACAGTTTGGCAGCTTCTTGCAAAACTCTCACCATATGATCCGGCAATCACACTCCCTGGTAAATCCCCTTTGGGATTTACCCAAAAGAGGTGAAAATGTGTGTCCACACCAAAACCTCCACACCGGTGTTTATAGCAGCTTTATTCATAAATGCCCCAAACTGGGACAAGCCTAAGATGCTCTTGAGAGAGGGTAAATGGATAAACTGTGGTAGAGCCAAACAATGGAATATTATTCGGCACTAAAAAGAAATGAGCTGTCAAGCCATGAAAACACACAGAGGAAATATAAATGCTATTACCAGGCGAAAGGAGTCAATCAGAAAAGGCCACATAGTGCATGAGTCCAACCACATGACATTCTGGAAAAGGCAAAACTGTGGGGACAGTAAAAACCATCAGTGGTTACGGGGGTGGAGGGTGGGGGAGGAACGGGCAGAGCCAAGGGTTTTCAGGTCAATGAAACCATTTTGCATTCTCTGTAAATGGCGGACCCGTGTCCTACATTTGTCCGAATCTACGGAATGGCTAACACCAAGAGTGGGCTCTAACGGATGCCGTGGACTCGGGGTGATGGCGCATCCGTGTGGGTTGGCTGCCTTAATAAATGTGTGCTCTGGCGGGCGGGGGTGTGCGGGGGTGATGGTGAGGGAGGCCGTGCATGCGTGGGGGCAGGGAGTGTGTGGGACTCTCTGTACCTTCTGCTCCATTTTGCCATGAAGCTAAGACTGCACTAGAAAATAAAGTCTATTTAAAACAAAACAGAAAAGGTGATGTTGAGGGAGCCCTAGAGGAAGACGCTGGCCAGCAGTAGGTGGGAGGGGCCTGGGAGAGGGCGGGCACCAAGGTGGGCGTGTCAGGTCCGTGAGCCTTGGGCCTCGCAGCACGCACTGGCCTGCTCATGCCCAGAGCCCACCACCTCAGAGCCCGGGCCTGGCCGGGGAAGGTGGAGGGCACCCATGAGGCCCCCATCCTCTCTCCTGACACTCCCAGTGCAGTGGGGAGACAGATGACAAAGCTGTGATACATGTGTACTCACAGACCTCGAGATCTGTGCAGCGAGTGGCCCAGGGACCCCTCCTCAGCCAGGGCGTGCTGGGAAGTCCTCTCTGCAGAGTGATGCTGAGAGCCGAGAGACAAGGGGAGCCAGTAATACAAAGAGGGGGGCTGGTCGTCCCAGGAGGGAGGGATGGAAGGTGTCAGGACCAGATGTGGGGAGTAGGCATGAACCCGGTCTAGGCACAGGAGAGGAAGGGGGTGGCTTGGACATATTTGGAGGCAAAACCCATAGCTGGCGGCAGAGGGAGGGGCAGGGAGAAACAGGCGGCTGGGACCAGTTTCTCATGGGGATCTGGGCACATGATGGCCCCCAAGACAGAGACAGGAAGAAGTACGCGTGGGGGGCCCAGTCTGGATATGCTGAGTGGGCGGTGCCCCACTCCAAGTGTAGTGCACAGAGAAGGGCTGGAGTTACAGGCCTCCTTGGGCAGGGGTCTGAGACAGCAAGGAGCTCAGGGGGAGAAAGGGAAGGAGCAGCCTTCAAGAGAGCCTGGAGGTCAGAGTGGAAGACGTCCATCCCCAGGTAATGAGGGACTGGGAGGGACAGTCAGACCAGGTCTGGGGAGAAGAACACCAGGAAGGAAGAACAGGTGGGAATGGAGAAGCAGCTGGGAGTGGTGGGGGGGTTGGGGGTTGAGTGTGGAGGAGCTGGGAGTGGTGGGGGAGCTGGGGGTTGAGTGTGGAGGAGCTGGGAGTGGTGGGGGAGCTGGGGGTTGAGTATGGAGCAGCTGGGAGTGGTGGGGGTGCTGGGGGTTGAGTGTGGAGGAGCTGGGAGTGGTGGGGGAGCTGGGGGTTGACTGTGGAGGAGCTGGGAGTGGTGGGGGAGCTGGGGGTTGAGTGTGGAGCAGCTGGGAGTGGTGGGGGTGCTGGGGGCTGAGTGTGGAGCAGCTGGGAATGGTGGGGGAGCTGGGGGCTGAGTGTGGAGCAGGGGACTGAGTGTGGAGCAGCTGGGAGTGCTGGGGGAGCTGGGAGTGGTGGAGAAATGGAGAATGAAGAAAGGATTATCAGGGAATGGGGCATGTCCACAGGTGAAGCTCTGGTGACCTGGACAGGAGGTGAGGAGGTACCCTGGAAGGAAATAAGAGGGACAGGGCAAAGGGGTGGGGCATGTGGAGACCAGAGAGGGCTTCAGGAGAGGATAGCCCAGACTCTGATGGCACCAACAGGAAGCAGCTTGGTGAGGGGCCGCCTGCCCGTGGTCAGCCCCAAAGACAGTTCTGCCACGCCCCCTGGTGGCAGCACCTAAAGCCACAACCACGTTCCAGGGTGCACAGCCTGTGGGATGCAGAGGCCTCTGGGATGGCAGGACGGGCTGGTCCCGGGAACCATGCATGTCACCAGCGCCCCTCCCTCCCCACGCCCTGACCTTGAACCCCTGGTTAGCTCCTGTTCCCACTGGACCCCTTGTCCCCTTCCTTGATCACTTTATGCATGCCTGGCACTGCCATCCTCCTTCCCAGCATGTCCACACCCCCACCACTGCCAGGGGGACTCCATGGCTCACCGGGCCACATACTGGCTGCCCCCACCTGAACTCCAGGACGAGGGCATGCTCGTGACAGTGCCCTTGGTACCTGAAGGTGCCTGGCACGCAGCAGCCACGGAGTCACTGTCCAGTGAACCCAGGCCCAAACTCTCCTGCAGTGAACCCAGGACCGAGCTCTCCGGTTCTGTCACGGCCCCTCTCTGGGCTTCCCAACGTCCCAAGATCTATTTCTAGGGCTGGGGTTCTGGTGCTGCGCTGCCCGGAGCTGAGTCCCAGCCAAGCCCTACAAGCTGCAGGGCCCTGGGGGGAGCAAAGCCTCATCTGCAAGTGGGGACACTGAGGACCCACAGGGCCACCTGGGCTAAGGGCAGATGCAGGTGAGGACAGGCCTGGCCCAGCAGAAGCACCTGCGTGTGGGGCGCCACACTGGATCACCTCAGAGAGAGCGCGCAAACAAGCACGCAGCCAGTGCCTGCGGGAGGCTGAGAGGCTCTGGGGACAGTGCCACCGTTCCAGGCCCGAGCGATGGTTTTGCGTATTTGCTTTGTGGAAACCCCAAAGTGAATGCTTGTGACTTGTGCACTTTTCCATACACTCACACACACGTGAATAAACATGCGTGGTATACGGGTACCCCCCCTCCAGCCATGCAAAATGTGTCCCTACCAGCCTATGAGAAAGGGGAGGAGCCCCACCTTACCCTGGACATGGGAGGCTCCTCCGCTGCTGGGGACAGGGTAATCCTGGCCCCAAGGCGAGTGCTGTGGGCGTTTGCAGCGGGCGTGGGCGCCCGTGAGGACTTCCTGAGGCCCGGCCTCAGTGGGAGGAAGGCCACTGGAGAACCCAGCTCCCACGGAGGAAGAACCAGAAGTGTCAGGCTGAGACCCGATGCAGGGTGCACCGGGGCCTTCCTGCCTTACCCATGGGCCCCCCACGCCCTCTCAAGGCGGTAGAATGAATCCGCTGATTCCATGCAGTGGGTGGGGAGGGCCGAGGGGGTGTGGTGGGTACCAGTGCAATTGAGGGTTCGAGTCTTGTGGGACCAGGGCCTGCACCCCCATTCCGGGCCCAGCACCTGACACACAGGGAGGTGCAAACCAGACCACGCGGAACAGCCACGCCAGCAGCCAGAGTGGGCGTTTCCCACACCGCCACCCAACACTGGGCAGCTCCTGCCACCCACCCAGCGTGGGGCCTCTCAGGCTGGCCTGGCCCTGGCTGCTCAGGCAGAGACAGACCCAAACAGCAACAGATATGTGACACTGAGTGAAGCGTGCAGACACCTGACTCCCACCCCAAATGTTTTCTTCCCCAAACAACCCTGAACACACAGATGAATGCAGCACAAAGTCTAACGCCAACACACTTTATTTCCCTTCGGACGCATCTGCAAGCTTCTGCCACACCTGAACCCACGGCCTGGCACCAACGCTACCATCACTCCCCAGAGGTCAATCCTGGGGGCTGAGGAGCTGCAATTTCCCTTTCTTCCTGAAAATTAAGAGAACTGAGACTAATTGAAGAAACCTCACTGCCATTCCTCACTCAGCAGTCTCAGCAGGTCTGAAATGTGGCTGTGGGAAGTTGCCATTTTGGGAAGGCGTTTATTCTCTGCGGCTACAGGGATTGCCTGCTTTAGAAATCCCCTTACGCTGATTAACTCAAAAGTCCCTTCAGAGTCAAGAACCAACCTTTCATGGTCCATAAATGTGGTATTTCTGGTTTCCTGATCAGGAGGCTTGCAAACCTAAAAATGTTCTTCCTTCCAAAAACTAACTAACCTGAAGTATAAAACCTCAGACGGCAGAATTTTCTATTTCTGGAAAAGCTGGCTGCGATTTGTTTTTGGGACACAGTGAGGCAAGTCCCTGTGGCAGAGAACGAATTGGCCCCTCGGCCTCTGTATGTGAGAGCAGCCCAGCCACACCCAGGAAGAAACATCCCCCATGCACTGCAGCACATCCTCCTTAGAGAGAGAACGCCTGCAGGTTTCGGCAAAGAAAAAAAAAAAAGGGCCTGCCAGACTCCCAGCTGGATGGAAAGCAGCCGACAGCTCCTCAGCCAGAGGGTGAGGCCAAGTCCTGGCGCCTAGCTGGGCCCCGTCCATGCGCGTCACTTTCCAGTGAGTTCCAGCACCTTCCTCACCATGGCTCCGATCCCATCATGGATGTAGTGGAGTGCCGTCTCGCACATGAAGGCTGGGGTCGTGACCACCTTGTTTTTCTGGTCCACGTGAGCTTCGTGTGCAGAGTTACGGAAAAAGCCACCCAGCACGGACCTGAGGGACTTTCAGGTGTGGAGCCCCGGCCCCTCCCCCACCCTCACCGCGTGTCCTAACTTTGTTCTCAGATAACTTGGAAGAGGAGAAGTCGCTCCTGGTGCAGTCTGTGCCGGCAGGACCCTGCTTTCTGTATGATTTATGCTGCTGAACAACATAAGAAGGAACCTGTTCCCAATTCACATGCATTCTAGAGGAAGAAAGCAGCGGGAAATTCCAGGGAACGGGGCACCTTTCATGCCAGCATCACACAGGCCCAACACCCACACATGGCCACGAGCTGCCCCGCCATGGGGGCGCACACATGCCTGGGGTGCTCACAACCACCACGGGAGGCAGTGGCAGCACCTCCGCTTTTCAGATGAAGAACTGGCCGTGAAGGAGCCGGTCCTCATGGGGCAGGGCAACAGGCAACAGGGCAGCAGGTGGCACAACTGGGGCCGGCCAGCCACAGACCTGAGCCTCCCCAACACCACGCATGTAACCACTGGCCAGGCCTCCACACCACCCAAGACACGTGCCCCTATCTTCCTGCAAGCAGTCAGAGGCCTGGGGCCAGCCTTGCACTGCGCTCCTGCCCAGCAGGAAAGCCGCAGGGAGGGAGACGGGGCCTGACGTCTGAAGCTGCCTGTGAGAAAAAAGCTGCCCCATTGAGAGGAACTGCACCCTTCAGAACAACACCTGCAGGGGACCGGGTCCATGCTCTACTCATTCCAGTGCCTTCCGGCACCCCGGAGTGTTCTGTTCTCTCAGTTGGGCTCACATGGACATTCTCCCAGATCCAGGCAGGGCCTTCCAGGAGCCTCCCTCCAAATCTCCCTGGGCAACAGCCCCGCTGGCGTTCTTGGTCCATCATCTCAGAACTCAGGGTACACACCTCAACAGGAGGGGCTGGGGGCCGCAAGGCTGGCTGAATCACCTGGCCACCCAAACTGGCCTGAGAACTTCCGCCCAAATGAAGCCAGGAAGCCCCTTCTCCTGCACACCCGGCCGCTTTCCCCCAGCATCTCAGGAAGCCCCCGCCTCCTGCACGCCCGGCTGCTCTCCCTCCACACCTCGCACACACTCTTTCCTCACCCTCCCCCCGCTGGGCCCGGAGTGTGGCTGCCTGGGTGTTGCTGAGCAGACTAAACAGTCAGGCAAGGGACCTGGATCTGCCGGATCTGCCAACCACGCACCAGAGCTGCGCTTCTGACGTGTCTGTGACCCACCTCACACCAGCTGGGCTGTCACAGCCATCTGCTCTCTGCCCTTAGACACATGGCTGCGGTGCCCACTGGGGGAGGCCCCACAGGGAGAGCAGCAGGTGCAGCTCCCGGTGAAGAGGCCACCCACCAAGACAGCCCGGAGGGAGGGGCGTCCCTATGCACGTCTCAGGGACAAGCACGACAGCGGGCCGGGCCTGGCTACCAGGAAGGATATGACCACTTCCTTCACGCAGTGCTTGGCACCCAGGGCCTTGATGGCCTCTGCGGTCCCGGCATAAGGCCACTTGCCACCTTCCTCCTGCTCGTGGCCCACAGTCACCTCGACGCCTCTGAGCACCTTGGCCGCGAGGACAGGTGCAATGCAGCACAAGCTGAAAGGCGAAAAGAACACGGGTCAGGCAGGCTGCATGGCCTGCAGAACAGAAATTACCCTCGCCATGACCCCAGGCTGCCCTGCCACGGGAGCCCTGCCGACCCTGCCCCCTGTGAGCCTGCGCTGCCAGAAGGCTGTGGCCCATGGGATGTGATGGAGGTGGCACCAGGTGACTCAAGGCTGAGAGTGAGGTGTCCTCAGCCCCACTCCCCGCCAAGCACGCCCTGCAGGCACTCAAGCACCAGGCCAAGGACCCCTGAGGGGAACCCCCAACAGCCATGGGCTAAGCCCCAAGCCCCAGGACACCCCAGACTGGCGAGAGTCCCGGGCTGCCAAAGTCCACTCACAGAGAGGGTAATGATGTGCGGCTGCCCCAGCCCTGAGTTGTGGGGTGGTCTGTGACCCAGCAATAGATAACACAGCTGCACTTCTCATTCACACCAGCCCCCCTTCTACAGGAGGCACAATGGGCCAGGAGCAGCCTCGCCAGCCTCTGACCTGCAGCACAACTCTCAACAAGTGCAGGCTGGTGGGCGCACGCCCCTGACCCTGACGCACAGGCCGCAGCAGCCCTGAAACTGAGGGTCCTGCCACACCCACCCCTGGGACCTGCTTCTGCTTCATCAGGAACCCTTCCCTGCCAAGTCAACAGAGGCCCCTGTGTGCCAGGCACTGTGCCCACAGCAGGGCCTTCAGTGACCTGTGTCGTCCAGCGCCTCATGGCCACCCAGGGGCAACAGTGGAAGGAGTACGGCCTCATTAACAGCAGCCCCATCCCCTGGCAACCTGTGGTGTAGCCCACAGCTGTCAGGCCCCACCCTGCCCTCAACACCCCGCACCCTTCATCCCTCCTCCCGCTGTCTACAGTCCTACCCACTCCCGACAGGCCCAGGTGGAAACTGCTACCGTGAGCTGTAACGAAACACTGTTAAAAACACATTTCACAGCCAGGTGCAGTGGCTCATGCCTGTAATCCCAGCACTTTGGGCAGCTGAGGCAGGCAGAACACCTGAGGTCGGGAGTTCGAGACCAGCCTGACTAACATGGCGAAAACTTGTCTCTATTAAAATTACAAAAGTTCGGCCTGGTGGCAGACACCTGTAATCCCAGCTACTTGGGAGGCTGAGGCAGGAGAATTGCTTGACCCCGGGAGGCGGAGGTTGCAGTGAGCCAAGATCACTCCAGCCTGGGCAACAGAGCGATACTCTCAAAACAAACCCGCCCCCCAAAACTGCATGTCCTGAAGCAACTTCTGGCTGCCTATGAGATGAAACCCCCCTGCCGCCCTCTGCGCAGGCAGAAAGTCCAGGAAGCAGGTTCTCAGCAGCTCCCGACGCTGCGTGCAGCCGCCCAGCCATCAACTGCCAGCTACAGATGCCACAGTGGCTCCTGGCACAGCCCAGCGCCCACCTCGACTACTGCATTCAAGGAAGGGGTCCCAGCAGTGAGCGGCTGGGCCGCCTAACAGCCCCTGGCTGGCCACGCAGGCCTCTGACACCAGGCTGAGGGGTGGGTGGGGCCAGTGGGAAAGGATTTAGGTTTCCTCAGGAAAAAAGCCTGTGGGTCACCGTGCACGGAAGCCCCATGGCTGGACCGGGGAGCAGACGGGCTTGTGCCCTGCAGTTTTCAGGGGAGCCTCATGGCTGGACCGGGGAGGAGACAGGCTTGCGCCCTGTGCTGTTTCCAGGGGAGCCTCATGGCTGGATTGGGGAGGAGATGGGCTTGCGCCCCACACTGTTTTCAGGGGAGGCATGCTCAGAGGCAGTGGTTCACCTGCCAGGGGCTGTCTTGTTTCATCGAGATTTTTAATCAGTCACAGAAGAAAGGGCCATGGGCTCCTCCCTCTGGGCGCTCATCCAAGGAACACTTCTCTGACAAGGACGGGATCCCGAGGTGGAGACCATGGGCGAAACCTTCACCCCGGCTGTGACACGGCTGCAGCAGGGACCTCCTTCAGGAGCTCTGAGCCTGCACCTCTTCCTGAGGCTCCACTTTAGGGGCCTCCCTGGACAGTGACCAGGCAGGTCCTTAAGTGAGTGACTGTGGGTGGGGAGACAGAGGATTCCGATAGATCCTCATCCTTGTTCGGCTGACAGAACTCGGTAGTGAGCGGCCATCGCGAGTGCGCCTCACTGATGTTCACCCACGCAAGTGCGGCTCTCGCCCTGCCAGCACCAGACGCAGCTGAGACCTGGACAGCACAGCGCCGCGTTCCAGGACCACCAAGGAGCAGGTGCCGGGAGGCTCGTGGAAGCATCACACCTGCCGAGGCGGAACCCGGCCTTGCTGGGTCACCCTCACACATCTGAGAGTGACTTCCCGGCAGCAGACGCTGAAGAGCACACACTCCCTGCGGGGCTGCGACCCGCCACGTAAGCCAAGGCGCTTACGTGGATGAAGGAGTGGGCGCCCTACTCGTGCCGCCAACCTCAGGACCCAGGCTTTGTCTGAGCAGGGACAAAGGGGCGTGGTTGGCTGTGGCTCCCCAGGAGGGAGGCCGCTGGGAGTGGATGGCGTCAGGGATGGAGCACGTGCTGCAGTGACTGGCCAGAAGTCAGCGGGGTTGGGGGTACTGTGGCTAAGGGGCTTGGGAGAAGGGGTCTGGTAAAGGATAGGGGTCCTGAGGGACTGCCTAGGGACACCTCTGGGAGCCAAGAGAATTCCAGGCCTCCTCTAGGGAAGTGCAGTGTGCCTCTCCTTCCTGTTAAGTCACCAGTGACATCGTGTGAAATCCCCTCAGTTAAAACAAGAAAACCAGCTGTGAGTTTTCAGGATCAGCGGCAGCTCCTGGCTGAGAACAGAGGCCGCGGGCCCACGCACCCTCCTCCCTCCCTCCCCGAGGCCTGCACGGCTGTACACACCCGATGGGCTTCCCGGCCTGGTGGAACTCCTTCAGGACACGCTCCACTTCTTTATTCACCTTGCAATCTTTCCCGTCCACGGCAAACGTGCTCCTACCGGGAGACAAAAGGCCTCCTCAGACAGCCTCACAACCAGGGTCTATTCCTGGGGGGCTTCCTAGGCACAGCTCCAGACCCTCAGTCAGCTGCAGCAAGGGACATGGGCATGGCTGCACATATGCGCGTTTGATGTGAACATATTTTCCTGTTTTTTAAACAGAAATAAGCATAGGAAGCAGGAGGATCAGGAAGTGGTGCAGCAGGAGGCCACCAGGGCGAGAGGGCCCACGCCCTGGAACCTTCCGGAGCAGCTGGCAGAACCCGGGCTGCGGTGCTGAGACTCAGACGCTGGTTTCCGGCTCCTAACTCCCGTGCTGCTTGTTAGCTTTCTGTTACGACGTTGGCTGTGTCGGGCCTCGGGCAGCCTCTGACCTTCCCGCCTGCCCTTTACCTGCCCCAAAGCAGGACTCCAATGTTCCCCGCCTTTCTGACTGTGGGTCTCAGGACCCTCTCCTGAGAGGGTCCCCCACTCCCCGGGGGAGAATGCTGACGTCATGTTTCCCTGAGCACTGTGAGCCACGCCAGCAAACGGGGTTGTGGGAACCCCAACTTGAAGTCAACTGGTCAGTTCCAGAGGCTCAGACAGTTTACCGGTATGTGTCAGAGGGCAGTTTTGGGGACGGAGCCCTCAACCCGTGCGATCGGACGCTACCCCGGGTCCATACTGTCGGAACTGAATTAGAAGGCAGCAGCGACCCCTGCGTGGTGCATGGGGAAGACCCTTCACACCCACCTTCTGTGTGGACAACTGTTGTGGTGGGAGGAGGAGAAACACGGTGTGAGAGTTTTTCCTTAAAACAAAGGGGCAGCAGGAAACTCCAGGAGTTCCCAAAAAAAGAAACGCAGTCGGCCTCCAGGCATACCAAGCACTCTTGCTTCGATGACCGTGAAAGAAACGCCAGTTTACCTGCGACACCAGCATCCACACCTCAGGCCGAGGAGCAGGAGCTGTGGAGGGCACGCGGGGCAGGGGAGGTCTCTCCACACTGCCCATGGGGCGTGTGATCTGGCAATGCCACCAAATCTACAAGTGGACACACCTTCCCACGAACCCACCCCTGGGCTCTACGCCACCCTCACGCACCCCAGTCCTCTGCCCCAGCATTTTCCACATGGCTTTGCTGGCAGAGTGCTGGGAATCTTCTGGAGGCAGTGGGTGTTCGCCGTCCCCATGGGTGACTGTCTCAGAGGGTGCAGAGTGGCCACGGCTGCAGCTCATTAGAGCGCGCCGCACCATGGACACGCAGGGCAGGCTCACCCAGAACGCTCTGGACAGGTCAGTGAAAATGGGAGCTTCGCCCAGGGGACGTGGGCTCAGACACACGGGCACATCAGTCCCAGGGCCCATCAACACCTTGAAAGCCAAGGCCAAGACCCACTGACCCTGAGAACCACCACACACCTCACGCCTGTGCCTCTGGGTTGGCAAAATGTGGAGGAGCCATGCCAGGGCACGGAGCCCCCAGCACACCCTCCAGCTGCCCCTGCGCCCCGCCACACACGGTGTCAGTGGTCAGAGCCTCGTGGAGACGGCAGCGACGCAGGGACAACTGGACAAAAGATCGAGCCTGACGTGGGGCTGCGTGAGGTCAGGGGTGTGGGCGGCACCGACGAGGCTTGCTGGCTTTCAGGAGACCGGGGACGACAGGCTGGGGTGGGGCTTCCGGTGAGAGAGGGGTGAGGGCACGGCCAAGGGCACTGAGAAAACAGCTGGCATCTGAGGAAGGAGGCCTCTGAGGTTTCGGGATAAGGAGGGGCGCATTCTTCGGATGGAGACTGCCTACCCCTCGACTCTGGGTGCAGGCTGCCCAGGGTGGGGCAAGCGGCCAGCCAGCCTCCAACCTGCCCTTGAAACAGGAGCTGCCGACCGGGGCCGGCCGTGCTGGGGCTGCCACCCACACCATGGCACAGAAGCCACCTGCACGCTCCGATGCACTGCGGCCAGTGCTCCTGCAGGTGGCAGAGCTGTCCCTGGAGGGTCAGCCTGGCACCACCTCCACCTCTCAGGCAGGGCCATGGGGGCGGTGCCCAGAGAACCTCCATGAATGTGCAAAGAGAGAGAGGAGACACAGAGAACAGAAAGAGGATCTGGAACTCAAGGACGCCACCGTGTGGGAGCCGGCCAGGCCTCCATGATTCACGGTCCAGCTACCAAAACAGCCACGCCAAGGCGGCCTCCCTTCTTCCTGTCAGGACCGCCGCCCAAACTACCAAGAAGGAAACCCATTTCTGATCCTGCAAGGTTCCATAAGAGAATTGGGGCCAGGCGCGGTGGCTCAGGCCTGGAATCCCAGCACTTTGGGAGGCAGGAGGGTTACTCGAGCCCAGAAGTTCCAGACCAATTTGGGCTACATACATGGCCAAAAAAAAAAAAAACAAAACCATGGGCATGGTGACATGCGCCTATAGTCTCGGCTACTCAGGAGGATGAGGCTGGAGGATGGCTTGAGCCCAGGAGATCATGGCTGCAGTGAACTAGGATCGTGCCACTGCATCCCTGCCTGGGCAACAGACCAAGACCTCATCTCTACAGAAAAAAAAAAAAAAAAAGAGAGAGAGAGAGAAAAAAAACTGGCACTTGCAAGGAGTAAATACTCAGAGACTGATTTCAACGTGACGAGACCTACAGCACAGTGATGAGATAAGAGGGAGCCCCAAACCCACTCTGACAAGCTGCTGGGTACCAGGAATGCTGAGAGAAGAGGCAGCAGAGAAGCAGAAACAAAAGCATGGCTCGCTACAACGCTACCTAAGACCCAACCCTAAGAACAGCTCCCAAGTCAGAGGGCAGGCACGTGCCCTGCCCAGACCCTAAACCCAGAGACTGCTCCTATCACCACCCCCTCCCATCGCCGCTCCACTGACCACATTGGACAGCAGACAGGTGCACCCCCTTCCCATCTGCTCCACATGGAAAGCGGAAGACCTTGGAGCTCAAATACGCACAGGTTTTTAGCCGCTCCAAAGCCTCCTGGAAAGATGGCAGCATCATGGTTGGCTGCACTGAGGTTGGCCAGGTCTGTGATTTTGCCACGGGCGATCCTCGCAGACTCGGTCAAAACATTCCTGGGAAAGAGCACAGGGCAAAAAGCCTCAGCATGCAGGTGAAGGACTGTGGAGCGCGGCAGGGGCACAGCCCACAGGCAACACGCTCCACACACGTGGCTCTCAGCCACACGGGGACTTACTTCCAGGTCAGCATGTTTGGTCACTACCTGGAAAGACAACATGGTTCTAGCAACGCTAAATCTATGCTGGGCTCTTCCGATCAGCACTTCAGAACCTGCGCCAAATCACTCTGAATCTTCTGCAGTCAAGGCCCATGGGAAATGGAAGTCTCTCCGAGTGTCTAAAGCAGACAGAATTCTGTGCACTCATCAGGACGGTGGGACTCAGAGGGGAAGGTAAGAAGCCAGGACTCAGGACCAGTGAAGCAACCCGAAGGCCAGCCACCGCAGGAAGCTGCTAGCCCCCAGGTGTGGGGGCCGAAGGTGCAAGTCCAGGTGCAGAAGCCAGGGTCCCAGGCAGGAAAAGAAATCACAGGGGTCCCCACTGGTGAGAAGCACAGCCCCAGGAGGCAGCTATGGCTTCTTCCTCGAATCTCCAGCTCCGACCTCTCGTGGTCCGAGGCCAGTTGGAAGGCACCTTGGAATGGCCTGCACAGGGCTGTCAGGCAGGACAGGCAAGGGAAGGGGATCTCAGGCCACACAGGCCAGAACCACACACACCGCAGTAACAGACATGCTGCTGGGAACCAGCAAAACAGATCTGGAGCCCAGACAGGGGAAGAAGGTGGGCGACCAAGCTGAGAACCACCACCTTTGCTTAAGACCAAGGTATGAGCAGCCTGACTCAGTGGGAAGCGATCCGGTCGCCATTTTCAGTCCTTCTGTGAGTACTGGAAGGAAGGCACTCCTGAGCCTTGGCAGCATTACTTCCGGAACAGCCCGAGCACAGCTGCTCAGAAGGACGTTCATTTGCACACAAGACTTGGTTTAAGCTAAGCCAGCAAAAAAAGGCTGCACCGTGGGAGGTAGACAAGAAGCAAGTTCCAATCCCACCCCCACACCTGCTCTCGCCTTCGGACGGCTGCCCCTTGGTGTGGTCAATCACGTGCATCTGAGGGACGTCAGGAGCAAAGATCTGGACTTCAGCCCCTCCACGGCTCAGGTGCACCAGGATCCTGCACGGGGGAAAACCAGAGACAACTCTTCAAAACGTGCCCCACTCAGATTTGTGTTAACACATTTTTAAAAACAGGATTTTAGCTAAGTACCAGGAGCAAATTCCTAATGTATATTAATATCTTACTTGCTCTGCAAAAAGTTACAGTTGGTTCCATACCAAGCCAAACGTCCCCCACACCCCCATTCCAATTCACTGTCGGTTGGTGGGTTACGACTATGACAAACCCTCAGAAGTGGGCTATGGAGATCAGCTGGTCCCAACAGCTCCCTTTGCAAACTGGGGTATGGGGGCCGGGTGACTCCACTGAGGGCACAGCCTGGAGGCGTGCGGGTCCCCGGCTGCTGAGTGCTCTACCTACACCCAGGGCCTGGCTGCCCTCCTCCAGTTGCTTGCTGCAAGCACCAAGAGTGAGAAGCAGCAGTGTGCTCAGAGTGCCACGTGCACAGACGGTGTGACGGGGCTTTCGGTCACTACTTAGTTCAATTTCTAGTCTCCCTCAACTTTCCCATCACAGATGGTGGGAGAGACACAAGAGACCCCAGGACAACACCACAGGCCAGGCAGCTCCATCTCCCCAAGGGCAAGGGCAACAGAAGCTCCTCCTGGGGACAACAGCTGACATTATGGGGGCTCACGCTGGCATCCGCAACTCCCAGTGCCAACAGGAGATAGGTGGCTAAGCCCACCCACACACTAAGCCCTCACTGCCCCTTACGTGGAGGAGGAAACCGAGGCATGAAGTGCAGTGACTTGCCAGAGGGAGAGGTCAGCACCTGGCCCTGGCACTTGGGTTCCGCTACCCATAAGAAATCCACCCAGACACCCCAGACACAAGACCCTGCCGTTCTGCCTGGGAGAGCTCAAGCTATTCTGGGGCTATTTTCTATCCCACCAAGGCCAAATCATGAAACACATCCTGGCCCTTTCCCCCAGCTCACTCTGCCTAGTGCCAACTCCAACCAGCCAAGGTGGGCCACCCACAAAGCCACCAGCCTCAGGCCACTCTCCATGGCCTGACACCCCTTTCGCCACCACCCAGCTCTCCCCTCTCCAGTTCACCCTGAACCACATGGGAACTACAGGTACCTGGCACGCGTGGTGGCCTCCTGCCCTACTGGTTCGGCCTGCAGTCATTTCCAGTAGCACAGGAAATCAGGCCACCAAGCACTCAGCAACAGCTGACCAGTTACGTAAACAGTAACCTGTCTAGGACCCAGAAATACCACGCAACTGTTAAAATGATGTTGAGAACTGAATGAATGGGAATTACTTCCCATGCGTCAGAAACATTTGCAAAACACGGGTGAGTGTGATCTCAGTGTTTTCAAAATGTGTGTGTCCTGAAAAACACTCAAGTGAAATGCTAAGTCATTTCTAGGCTCTAGGTGACAGTATAAGCGACACTTAAAAACTGTTCTTTCTTAGCGTCTCCCTGGGTTTTGCAAGTCGTTTTTGCTTTTTTTTAGCCAAGAATAGGGTATTTAAAATACAAGCTCTCTCGGCCGGGTGCAGTGGCTCATGCCTGTAATCCCAGCACTTTGGGAGGCCAAAGCGGGAGGATCACTTGAGGTCAGGAGTTTGAGACCAGCCTGGCCAACATGGTGAAACTCCGTATCTACCAAAAATACACAAATTAGTTGGGTGTGGTGGTGCATGCTTGTAGTCCCAGCTACTCGGAAGGCTGAGGCAGGAGAATCGCTTGAACCCAGGAGGCGGAGGCCGCAGTGAGCCAAGATCGCGCCATTGCACTCCAGACTGGGCGCTGTCTCAAAAGACAAAAAGTAAAAATAAAATAAAATACATGCTTTCTCTAAGCTGTTCAAAAAAGAGTAAACTTCACTGGTGGAGAGGCCTTCTCGAGGCCCCCGGGGTGGAGGACCAGCTGCCCCTGAGGACTTACGCCGAGGCCTCGTGGATCTCGGTCCCATCGTAGACTCCGCATCCAGACAGCACCTGCGAGAGGAGCGGGAGCTGACCCGGGGGAAAGGGGCCGACCTGGGCGGCGGGAGTTGACTGGGGGGAAAGGGGCCGACCTGGGCCGCGGGCGCTGACCCGGGAAAATGGGGCCGACCTGGGCCGCAGGAGCTGACTTGGGGTGAAGGAGCCGACGTGGGGCGGCGGGAGCGGACCTAGGAAGAGGGGCCGACCTTGGGCAGAGAACAGCGAAGGCTGATCTCTGGAGGCGGGAGCTGACCTCACCCCCTCCGTCCACTCACCAGCGCGACCCTGGCCGCGGGGCGCGGCACGGAGAGGTGAAGGGCTGCGCGCTGGGAAGGCGTCCGACCGCCGGGGGACAGGGACGTGAATGCAGATGCCGCAGCGAGCCTCGAGGCCACCAGGGCCCTCACAGCCGCCATTGCGGTGAGGACAGCGGGGTCGGAAGGTCACGCAGGGACAGAGCGTGCGCACCCACCCCTCTACAAACGCGTTGCTCGTCGGGACTGCGCCTGCGCAGCCTTCGGGGCGGAGCCAAGACCCGCCCCCGTCTCAGCCCTATCCAGTGAGTGCGCCGGTGGGCGGGGGCCGCGCCTGCGCAGAGCCTCCGAATAGAGTTCCGGGAACCCTGTCTTCCTTCCGGTGGTGGCTGAGGGCTCGTGCTCGAGGCTGAGGGATGCTGGTGACTCCCGGGGTCCCCAGCCCCGCCCCCATCGGACGCCTCCACAGGCGGCGCACCCTTTCCGCCATCCGCAGAGCAAGGCTGCCTCGGGGCGGCTCAGTCCGGCGCTTCTTACCTTACCTCCGTCTCATCCTTAACTCACCACGAGCGTCCAGGGTCCACATCCTCCTAAATGGCCACTCGTCTTAATCTCGGCGTCAGGACCCACGCGGGGTCAGGACTACCCCTCCGCTTCCATGACTGTCTCCTCGCGGCTCCGGCTCCCACGGAGCGACCCCTCCGGGTTTTACTGACCCCGGGATGTTGTATCCTGGAAACTGCAGTTCCACCCAGGGGCTTGATCTGGGTTAGTCTGGGGGCAAGTGAGCCGCCGATTCTGTTTGGGTTTTTTTTTTTTTTTTTTTGAGACGGAGTTTCCCTCTTGTTGCCCGGGCTGGAGTGCAATGGCGCGAAGTCGGCTCAACGCAACCTCCGCCTCCCAGGTTCAAGCGACTCTTCTGCCTCAGCCTCCCAAGTAGCTGGGACTACAGGCATGCGCCACCACGCCAGGCTAATTTTGTATTTTTAGTAGAGACGGGGTTTCTCCATGTTGGTCTGGCTGGTCTTGAACTCCCGAGCTCAGGTGATCTGCCCGCCTCGGACTCCCAAAGTGCTGGGATTACAGGCGTGAGCCACCATTCCCGGGCACTGTTTGGGTTTGTTTTTTTGTTTTTGTTTTTTACGTTCACAGCATGGACGGTCAGTGTGAAGATCCCAGCTGCTCGGGTCCTAGCTGGAATTCTTCCATTAAAAAAATCTGTTTGTTATGCATGGGTTAGTTCACAGAGGAATAGCTGGATAAGTGCTGGCTTTTTCCCCGATTTACCCATTTTCAACCTAATAATGCAGGTTTTTGAAATAATGTGAATGGTTACTGCTGGCGGATGTTCACAGGGACACACCGGATTCTACAGACACATCTGATGATCTAGCCACGGCTGTCACTTTCCCCACTGCCGCGTTGTCCATCACTAGGACTTTACTGCCAATCCTTGCAAGATAGTGGGGAACTAGAATAACAGACATGGGACATTACCAGTTACAACCAAAGACAAGCTTGGCACATTTGACTGTCCTCGTTCCTGCTCCTCCGTGCCTGGCCCTCTTCAGGCTTCTCAGCTCCTGGGGAGCGGCCAGCCAGGGAGCATCAGCTGGTGGGAGCGATGGGGTTGTGGGATGGCACAAAAAAACACCAAGCGCCACTCAGAAAGGAAATGCCGAATGCAGACTCTCACTCAGTCGGTGTGGGGGCCAGGACCCTGTCTCTACCAAGTGTGCGGGAGCTGCCCCTGGCCGGGAGCTCCCAGACCCCACTGCAGAGCCGCAGCTCCAGTTGTCCCAGGGGCGACTACTCAGGTGTCCATCGCCATGCACATGTGACACAGAAAAGGGTGAGGCGAGGAGGGGGAACGCTGGAAATTGTTTCACGGAAAAGGGCGAGGCAAGGGAGGGGAACACTGGAACTTGTGCTTTGGGTAGGCGATAGCTAAGGATTCTCTCTCGTCTGGGTCACGGAGATTGTGCAGCCACAGAACACCTGGTGTCATCAGGGCCTGAGCTCCTCCCTTCTACAAAGACCTCTGGTCTGCAGGCCTGCAGGTACAGTGCTGTGGGCCACAAGGCACTGCCTGTCGTATTCATCTCCACTCTCTAGCACATCTGGCCTCACGCCACCCCCGGGAGGCCGGCAGGCAGATATCAGCTCCACTTCCCAGATAAGCAAGGGAGCCAGGTACTACCCAGGGTCTTGGGGGCCACACCGCTGGCGAGGGACAGGCTGGGCCTGGCAGACAGCACTGGCAGTCGGTGAAGTGCCCACCTCAGTGTCAGCCTCAGGTCCTGACCCTGGAGGCTGCTGTTACTGAGCTGTGGGGACCAGGATGCCCTACCATGATGGAGACCCAAGCCTCTCTCATGATGACTATTCCCAAGGGCACTGCAGAGGGGAGGAGCTGTCTCCTCCTCCGTGTGGCCCACGCAGAGCTGGTGCAGGTCTGAGTGAGCTCACCAAGACAGGCCAATCCCAGCCCCAGACTCCAAAGCGTCCCCAAGAGGTCAGGGAGAGGCTCTGTGCCCCTGACCCCAAGGATATGCACAGGTCACAGGGCAGAGCCCCCGCTAGACAGCAGGAGCACCCTGCTCTGTCAGCCTGCTTCCCCAGGACGGAGGCCCTGGTGGTAAGGCAGGCAGGTCTTGAGCCCCCACAAGACAGCAGGATACAACATAACCCTTTTTAATCTGAAGTGTAGACTTCATCCTCACGTTAGAAAACTCCATCTTTTTTTTAATCCCTAAGTTCTTTATCAAACCTTTATGTTAAAAATATAAATAAGTCTCATACAAAGTTCATGTGAATACCTCTCTGAGACGCATTTTCAACATTCATCACCGTTCACACGGCCCCGCTCCTGGGGCCAGGTGCCAGTGCGTGCCGGCCCCTGGCGTGACCCGTCGGCTCGCTGTCCTGATGGGCTACATGTGTGCACAGGAAAAGCAAGTCACTACCACTAGTGACAGTATTTCAGCTGTTCTCTGGACCCCTCCTCTTTGCTGGCCCAGGTGGCACAAGGGTCCCATCTCCCTGGCAGGTCTTAGCCGGCACAATCCAACGCTGCAACCGGCTGGCTCTAGGCCAGCATCTCTTCTTCTGAGTCTCTGCCTCCTCCTCCAAGCAGATGCAGGCTGTCATCTTCAGATGCTTCTGCCTCCTCCTCACTTCCCAGCGGGTCTAGGGAGCGTTTTGTGCCCCGCTGCTTGGAAACTGCTAGTGCGTACTGCATGTTATAGTGGTTCCAGCTACAGCTGTCAATCACACAGGGATGGTCAATGCCAGCAACGCCCAGGCCCTGGCCTGTCCTGCACCCAACCACCTCCTCTGTGACCCCTGAGAAAAGCAGCAGGGGCTGGACATGCCGGTTCCTCCACCCCAGCAGCCATTTTTTTCCTCTTTTCCCTGCCCCAACAATCTGGTTCTGCCCCATCCAGCCCTGGGGCAGCAAAGGCCTTCAAGGACCCAAGGACCCAACTGTAACATCCCATCCCTTTGGGGTCATCCTGGCAGCTCAGCCCTTCCGCTGGGCCCAATCTAGATGGCTTCACCAGCAAGTTCCACCAAACACTTAGGAAGAGACCGCTGCAGAGCTATGTGGTGTTGTGGAGCGAGAGGGGAGGAAGGCACGCTCTGAATCAGTTAATTTTCTGAGTTAATGGAATAAAGGAGAAAAGTGATGCCACCATCACTTTACATAGGAAAGGAGAACTGAAAGATAAATGGATGAGAAAGGAAGGAAGCGCCCCATCGCATCTGCAGGGCACAGGACCCTCTGTGCAGGACTCTTCCTGACAGCCAATGGCAACCCTACAGATTGGCAGTGAACGCCTAGACAGGAGGTCCAAGGAACAATGCGCTTACGTGAACTCTAAAAACATCCCATAAGAGGGAATAAATCTAAAGGAGCTGGGCCGGGTATGGTGGCTCATACCTATAATCCCAGCACTTTGTTTGAGAGGCAGAGGCAGGCAGATCACCTGAGGTCAGGAGTTTCAGACCAGCCTGGCCAACAAGGTGAAACCCTGTCTCTACTAAAAATACAAAAATTAGCTGGGGGTGGTGGCGTGTGCCTGTAACCACAGCTACTTGGGAGGCTGAGGCAGGAGAATTGCTTGAACCTGGGAGGCAGAGGTTGCAATGTGCCGAGATCACGCCACTGCACTCCAGCCTAAGCAACAGAGCGAGACTTCATCTCAAATAATAATAATAATAATAATGAATTAAAAAATAAATAAATACATAAATAAGGGAGCTAGACAACCCTCCTCCCCTACAGAGCTCTGTGAAAAGTCCAGGACATCTCAGCCGAGGGAAGGCCTGGCACCAAAACTGTGGATCAGGGCACATCCCAGCCTTCTGTAGGGCACCCAGAACACGAGGGGAGGACAGGCTCGACCTGGACTCCAGGACTCTTTCCAAAGACTGAGTGACACTTCAAGGACAGACAGGAGGACCACATGAACCCACAAGGCCCAAACTCAGGCTCTGCCCCTGAACCCTGGACAGAGCAACTCGCAAACAGGACAGAGAACAGACCGTTCAGAAACGCAGCTGGGAAACCCGGCAACTGATTGGCAACAGAGGGTGATATCCCTCACATGGCTACTCTGAGGCCTGCCTAGTCCCGGCTCTGCAGGACCTTTAGGGAAGGTGAATTGGTAGGGACAAAAAAGGCACAAACCACAAAGAAATGACAGGAGAAGAGGCGGGCACCCCTGCAGAGTGAGCACTGCGGAGGGCCGGGCCCTGTCCTAGGCCCGCGGATGAATCCTCGCAGCAGCAGCAACAGCACCCTTTTCTAGGGGAGCCACAGCTCAGGGCAGCCACACCTCCAGGACTCCAGGCTGCCTGGCCTCACAGTCCTGTGACCACCCCCACTGCCTGTGCAAGTGACCTGCAAATTCAGGAAAGGCTGCCTGGTCCTACGAATGCAGCAATCCCTCCAAGAGCCTGGAGGATTCCGGCCGCACCTGGAGCGCGCCACCTGCAGCCTGTCTGCCTGCCACAGTGCTCACTGCTTTCCATTCAGCGCCAGGCCATTTCCCAAGCTGGTCAACCACGGGGTGGCCGGGCAGGTGCAGTTCACCCGCAGGTGAGAAGACAAGCCTCCAGCACTGGTTCCTTTTGTCCTCAAATCAGATGACACAAGGAGCACTCCACAGTGTGGACCAGCAGGGGACCGTGCACCCCACCCACCCCCAGGCCCTGCACCCACACGTACAGTTTCGACAGGTCGTCCAGGTGCCGCTGGATGCTCTTCTGGAGGAACTGAATGACAGGCAGCAGCGTCCCGGCTCTGAAAGGGAGACTCCCTAAGCGTGCGGGGCTCACCCCGTGGTACAGTGGGCTCACTTCATGCTGCATTGGCATGTCAAAGTTCCCTTTTATCCAGCAGGACAAGCTGGTCCAGTGACCTGAGCCACCGATGAACTGCGGGGGAGACCCTCTACCTGGACTTCAGCTTCTGTCCGTGCAACATGAGCAGTTTGTGAGTCCAGAGGAGGTAGAATTCCAGGTGGCGAGACACTTCAAAGGAGGAAGCTAAAAACTCCAGCACTTTCTCCACATACAGTTCAGGAAGGGAGGAGGTGACCACTTCAACTGCAAAAGGAGAAAAAATCATGCTTATTCTGCCACCAACTCAAACCAGGGGAAGAGAGGATGACCCCGGCGCCCGACACCGAAGCCCCAACTCACTCTCGCCCCTGGGCACCGCCTCCAGGGCCTCCTGCACCAGTTTGCTCTCGTTGAGCCGGAGGGCCATGAGGATGGCCCTGGTGAAGTCCTGCTGGCGCAGTGCCTCGCGCACCCTCCCGGGGGTGACGCTGGTGTCCAGCTCAAACGGGTCAAAGAGCACGCGGGTGTCCAGGGAGTAGATGAGGAGTCCCTCCGTGGTGGTGGCCGCCCAGCAGCGCCCTGGGAAATTAAGCAGTGCTTTCCTAAAAATTTAAGCTCATTCCTCCCAACATTTTTTTTCTTTTTTTTTTTTTTTTTAAAGAAACAGTATTAAGTACATTCCCCTGGGACAAAGTGCAAAAATCAGGAGGAACCGGGACGTCTGCCTCTAGCCCCCACCCCACTACTCCCCTGGGAAGGAATGAATGGATCATCCCAGAAGTTACTCTCCCAGGGATGCACATATAAGCAAATATGTACACGCATGCGTCGTCCTCTCTTGACGCCGGGAGCCAGCCAAGTCTTCTGTCTAGCTCAGGCGTCTTCAGCTCCGCAGGCCCTGTGGTCTCTGCTGCACCTACTCAGTGCTGCACGGATCACTAGAGACAGCCAGAAGGATCCGCCAACAAAAAAACGCCCAGTAAAATGTCCCAGTAAAACATCAGTGACCAAAGCAGGTGGCCAGCCAGATTTGGCCCTTGGGCCCGAGGGCACAGACCCCTGGCTCACATGGGCCTCTCTGCCCCTGGCTCTGACACTCAGTCTAGGCTGGAGCACGCTTGCCAATAGCCCTGCTCCTGGCTCCTCTGTGTGGGGACCATGTGCACCGCCAGGCTCCACAGGCCTGTGGCACAGACCCTCCTCCCCACTGCGAGAGGATGGGGGCAGTGCGCAGGAGACGGGCTCTCCGTGATGGCAGAGCCGCCCCCAGGCAGCACGTCCAGGGCACTCGGGGAGCTGCTAGAGCAAGGGCATACCAGGCCTGCCATGTTTCAAAGCTCAGTGCATCTGAGGTTGGCACCGTGACAGCCATCCATCCTCAGGGACAACAGCCATCTTGTGGCCTGCAGGGTTTGCAGGGCCATGTTCTTACCCAGGGGCACAGGGCACAGCCCAGAGCCTGCAGACAGCTCCATGGTGGCCAGCCTTGCTATGGCACAGATGCCCCAGTGCCCACCGGCACCAAAAGCCCATGGCTCAGTGCTCACCAGTGGGAGAGAAGCGGAGTGAGGTCACCCTGATCTCAGGTTTGAAGTGCCGAGAACTCATGTCACCTGGGGAAAAAAGAACCGTTAATGATCACTGGACAGCATATCCAGGCTGCTCTCCCCACGAAGCAAGTCATCCTGCGGTCTCCCGGCTGGCTGGGGGGTGCTGTGGGAGCCCCATCAAGAGCAGCAGCCTCTACTCATTGGGTCCTGCACAAAGCGGAGGCAGAAGCAGCCCTTCCCTCGCTGCAGCTGCGGCAGGTGGGCCCGTGCTGGGGCCGCGGAGGCTGTTCCGGGTGAGCTGCCAAACAGATGGCCCAGCCCATGGGGCAGATGCTCAAAAAAGCCAGCCCGGCCAGCAGACTGTGTGTCCAACCCAGAAAAGGGCCCCAGCCCAGCCCAGGAGTGGGTCTGCTGTGCTCAACACGGTACCCTGGGCCTGCATATGGAAGCACTCAGGGTTTCTGGCTGGCGAGTGTCCCATCAGGATGGTCTACCTGGGACCCAGATCTTCTAGAGCACCTGGCTCTCTGTGCGGCGCACATGGCCTCACGCCAGAATGCTCCGTGTGCTGTGCAGCAGACGGGGCACCCAGTCCCAAGAGCAAATGGACGGGTCCCGCCAGGGCAGGGAGGCCACGTGTAGCAACACATGGGCAGCTTCTCCTGCCCAGGGGCTGACGGCACCAGCACCAACCCACTGGGCCTTTGACACCCCCAGTGTCCAGCAAATGTCACCATGTAGTAACTGTTATTTCCACACACTGCAGCCCCAACCAGGGGCATGAATGCGTGGTCACCCAGGACCGGTGAGTGGTGGGCAGATGCGGGAGGAACCTCTGCTCACCTTTCCTGACGCCTGGCAGTGGTATCGCGACTCCATCCTCCTGCCCAGCATCCTGATCAATTAGTGCCAGGTTGCCAAACTCTGTCATTTTTCTTCGGTTCAAAAATTCCTAGAACAGCAAAAGCAGTGGACGCCTTGCTTCTGATGGCCTGGCCGCCTGGCCCTCGTCTCCTACCCTTGCTCTTTGACCCCAACACCAGACAAGCCTCAGCCCTGTCTAGAACAAGGACGGGGAGAGAGCCCTGCAGTGCCCCAGGGACTCTTCCTGCAGAGCTAGCTGCAGACAGGGTGGGTGTGGAAGCTGTGGAGCAGGGCAGGTGCGGAGGCTGCGGAGGGGGATGGACTGAGGTCTACATGCTGGCATTGCTGCCACCATCACAAAGGCTGGGGCTCACAGCGAGGATGGCCGTCTACTCCCTTGTGAAAATGCCAAGGACACTTTCCCCCAGAAACATTTAGGGGACAGTGGGCTTCTGCCCCGATGGGGCGTGGACAGGTGAACCCAGCAGCCACACCCCTGCTTAGAGGCTACCAGGGCTTCCTCACTCTCATTCTGAGGTCCTGCAGGAGCCAGCATGTGAGTGGGACCTGAGCCGAGGGCTGTGCTGAGGGGGAAGGGCAGGCACCAGTGGGGACAGTGAAGGCAGAGCCTTGTACACAGGACCCTGGGCAGGAAGCCATCGGGCAGGGCCTACCAGCACCCTCTTCGTTCACTCCTTCCCTGACAGATGTCCGTGTCTCCTGAGCCAGCGTGTGCTGGGCACTGCCCCTCACAGCTCCAGCCTCCTAGCAACCAGCCTCGGCAGGGTCATCCACAGCAGTGGTTCCCAACCCCTGGTACTGGCCCATGGTCTGTTAGGAAACAGGCTGCACGGCAGGAGGTGAGTGGTGGGCAGGTGAATGAGTGAAGCTTCATCTGAATTTACAGCCGCTCCCCATTGCTCGCATCACCACCTGAGCTCCGCCTCCTGACAGATCAGTGGCAGCATTAGATTCTCACAGGAGTGCGAACCCTATTGTGAACGACACGTGAGGGATCTAGGTTGCACCCTCCTTCTGAGAATCTAATGCCTGGTGATCTTGATCTGAGGTGAAACAGTTTCATCCCAAAATCAATCCCCCCAACCCTGTCTGTGGAAAAATTGCCTTCCACGAAACCGGTCCCAAATGCCAAAAGGGTTGGGGACCGTGGCTCCACACACAGCTGAGGCAGGCGCTGGCTTCACGGCCGGACTCTGCTGGGGCAGGTGAGGGGCCCGTGCACTTAGATACAGGACAAGCACCACAACTGTGCCCAAGGCCCCATGGAGCCAGGAGTGCAGAACGCAGGAGCCCGACGCATTCCACCTGCATTGGAAGCAACATCCATCCGGCCCCGCGCTGGCGGCTCACCTCCATGGCGTCCAGAGACAGGTTGCAAGAGATCTCGAACCTCTTCATGAGAATCTGCTCACGGACGTGGTAGATGCACACGAACTTGGACATGCCTCCCGCCAGGATGCTGTGGCCGTCTGCAGAGTAGCACAGGGCGGTGAAGGCCCTGGGTGGAGAGGAGACATGGACTTACGGTGGCCACCACGGAAACCTCAGCGTATGGCTCCTAAAAACCAACTTTAGGCCTGCATGGTGGCTCCCGCCTGTTATCTCAGCACTTTGGGAGGCTGAGTTGGGAAGATTGCTTGAGTCCAGGAGTTCAAGACAAGCTTGGACAATATACCAAGACCCTGTTTCTACAAAAAATAAAATTAACAGGGTGCGGTGGCACATGCCTGTAGTCCCAGCTACTCAGGAGGCTGATGTGGGAGGATCACTTGAGCCCAGGGGTTGGAGGCTGCAGTGAGCCATGATTGCACTCCTGTACTCTAGCCTGGGTGACAAGAGCGAGACCGTGTCAAAAATCAAAAATAAAAATAAAAATAAAAATAAATAAAATAAAAACTAACCTTAGGAAATAGAGGAGATCCTATACCAGCCCTCCAGGAAGCAAACACCAGCCTCAGCAACTTTCGCCAAGGCTCGCTGCCTCAACTCACGCGAGACTTTTAAAACCCACAATGTCCAATGGTGCCATCACCTGGTTCCGCTCTGAGCCAGCACCACCCTTAGATGCTTCCGCTTCCTGAGAATCAATGTCTTTTTCACAAAAGGAACAAGTGGCTCAAGGAACAGTGTTCCCTGCTGAGGTCAGCACAAAACGGCGACCAGTCGGCCTCCACCCTAAGCAGCCTACTCTCAGTCACGTCTGCTTAGTCCTGCAGAAACCAGAAACCAGCCCTTACCACCCCGCTCAACAGACGCCTCGGGGTGGGCAAGGTCCCTTAGTTATGACAGTAGAGAACAAAGAACAACAGAAAAAATGAGCAAAGTGGACATCATCAGAACTAAGAGTGCCACCAAAACGGTGGAAAGACAGTTCACAAAGCGGAACAAATATCTGCACATCAGGTATCAGAGAAACCCCTAAAATCCACAACCAAAATCCAAACAACCCAATTCAAAAACAGGCAAGAGACCTGAACAGACACTTCTCCAAAGAAGACTTACAAACGGCCAAGCCGCAGACAGAAAATGCTGAATGTCACTAGAGAAACCACAATCACAACTACAATGAGATACGAATTCACATCCACCCCAACAGCTCTCATTAAAAAAATAATAATAATAAAGCAACAAGTGCTGGCGAGGAGGTGGAGAAGCCAGAAGCCGACAGCGTTCCTCGTGGGAATGGCAACCGTGCAGCTCCTCCAAGCTGGAAACAGAACCACCAGCACCCAGCAGTTCCACACTCAGGGCGAACCCATGAGGACTGCACACAGGCATTCATACCACTTCCAAGACAGGGTCGCTACTTCCTTCTGGAGGAAGACCCTCTGCTGAACAGGCTTCTGAGCTCCTGGGACACAGGTCCAGCCCCCAAGGCCACCCACCCCGGGCACATCCCACAGATCCTCCCCCTTCTCCTAAGCCTGACCCCCACCCAGGTGAGCCTCACAGCCCAGCCAGGACCCCGCGCAGGCAATTTGGTCAGTGCTGTGCTGGCCCGACTCCTTGAGACAAGGGGACACTATGTCTTCACCATCCACGTAGCACTCTCTAGTCAAGTGAGGTGACTGAGGACCTGCATTTTTACTCTTAGGAGGCTGCCAGGGCTGTTTTCTGCTTTTGTTTGTTTTGTTTTTGAGACAGGGTCTTGCTCTAGCACCCAGGCTGGAGTGCAATGGCATGACGCCATCCTCACTACAGCCTTGACCTCCCGGGTTCAAGCGATCCTCCTGCCTCAGCTTCCCGACTAGCTAGGACCACAGACATGTGCCACCACACCTGGCTAATTTTTCTACTTTTTGTAGAGATGGCATTTTGCCACGTAGCCCAGGCTGGTCTCAAACTTCTGGGCTCAAGCAAACCACCTGCCTCAGCCTCCCCAAGTGCCAGGTCTCCAGTGTGAGCTCGGGCACCCGGCTGCTCTCCCCTCTGCACACCAGGACGATGTCATAATTCAGGATCAAGGTTTGGAAGTGGATGCAAGCTCTCAGCTGAACAAGTTTATGTTCAGTAAATCCAGACGTCCTCCTGTGCTGGGGGCTGTGCGATCCCAGGAGTTAAGGAGGACATGGACTCTCCCCAGAGGGCTCAGGACCACCTGCCTCCACCCACAGGGACTCAGCGGTCTCAGGAACAAAGAACAAGGCCAAAAATGGAGAAGCTGCAGGAGCCTGGTGGCTGGCTGGGGTCTCAAATCAGGAGGCCCGATGCTGACACTCACTTCCCCTTGGCCGCGTGCTTGGCTGTAATCTTGTCCAGCTCCTTCCTGCCAGTCTTGAGGTCATGCCTGCCCTCAATGGAGCCCGTCTGCACCGCGTTCTCAGGGTCCCAGAAGGTGATCTGTGAGTTCAGTGTGGCCACAGCCAGCTCCGCACCATCAGGGCGAAAAGTCACAGCCAGAGCTAAACAGAGATGCAAAGTAAGGCCCAACGAAGACCCCAGTCTCCCGCAGGCAGGCCACCAACCACCCTTGGCTGGAGACCAGGCCGTGCCCTGGCACCCCTAAGAGACCAGCGCCTGTTTGGTCTGGTACACAAGAATCTCCTCCCAGGAGAAGCTCCAACCCAGACAGGTGAGGAACAACTCAGCGCCAGTGAAGAGCACCAGGCGGTCCAGCTGGGGCCACAGGACCCACAAAGGCCGATGGAGGGGGCGCTGGGAAGGTGAGGCTGATGGGTGAGTGATGGTGGTTACTGAGGGCGGCTGGACAGACTAGAATACAGAGCCTCTGCAAAGAAGCCACATGTGATGCCAAAAGCCTGGCCAATGCCAGGCCTGGGGGTGGGGTGAGGCAGCGGGAAGCAGAGAGAACCAGCCTCCTGGGATGGCAGAGTCTGTCCACACCCGGACATGGATGGGCTGGGTCTTTGTGAGCCACGTGGTCTTTCAACACCGCCGCTGAGGCATTGACAGCCACAGACCATATGAACACAGGAGGCCACGGCTGCCTCTAGTACAGCCCCGTCAGAAAGACAGGCAGTGGCCTGAGGCCAGTCTGCAGATCCCTGGGCAGCCGCATCTGGCTTCCGGGCCCACCTATGGCCCCCTCATCCTTCTCCCAGTCTGCAGATTCCGGGACTGGCCGCATCCAGCGTCTGGGCCCCCCATGGTCCCTGTGTCCTTCTCCCAGTGACACAGCCCTGGCAGAGCTCCAAAGCAACTCCGAAAATCAGGAAGCAGCTGCGGCAGCAGCCCTTCACCCTCGGGGAGCTGTTCTCTCCTGCCTGGCGTACTTGCCCACAGAGCGGGAGCCCCACAAGGACTTGTGGAAGCCACGCTGGCCTGACTCGCCAATCTGCTGTCTCCTAGGTACTGCCAACCTCAAGGGCTGCCACACCAGCAGGTCTGGATAAAAGCCACCCCCTGCTTCCCACCAGAAGGTTCACACCAAACCCACAACGAGGAACAGGGCAGTGGGTGTGACAGCATGCTGCTGGTCCCCAGGCCGCTGCTCCTGCCTGCTGCCTCGTGCTCACCATCAGAGGTCAGGGCCAGCGTCTCCTTGGTCCTCCAGCTGTCAAACATGTCCCATAGGCGCACCGTCTTGTCCCAGGAGGCACTGGCCAGGACGGACTTCATTGGGTTAAAACACAGACCACTGATGGGCCCTTCGTGTCCAGACAAAACCTACCGTAGAGCAAGGAGGCGTGAAGAGTGGAGGTGGCGGCCGAGGCGGCTCTCTGGGCAGCTCTGGGCCAGGGGCATGGGCCCTCGGAGTGTAACCTCAGCTCCCTGCGCTCCTCTCCCAGGAGACAGGAGGGCCCCTCCTGAGCCCCAGCCCAGCCCCTCAGGGTGCTTACATCAAGGAGCCTGCCTGTCTGCATGGACCACACGAAAATCTCAAAGGAGTCCTGCGCCCCTGCAGAGACGATCTCACCGCTCGCATCCACCGCCACACAGGAGAACTGGGTGGGGCGTGGAGAGGTGAAGGTGCGGAAGTTTCGGTACCTGCAGAGAAGAGGCAAGGTCAGAGTCACGTGCCAGGGTCCCCTGCCCCAGCAGCTGCACTGCAGCCTCACCCTCCACCTTCACCTCTGCGTGGGGGAAGCCTGCCCCAAGCCAATCCGGAGCAAAAACATCACCTGTGAAGGTCAAAGGCTCGCACGGTCCCGTCCATGGATGAGGTCACCACAACGTAGCCGGTGGCAGTAAAGGTCACACCGGTCACCCCGCTGGAGTGCTCCGTAAAAGTGACGAAGCAGAAGCCGCTGAGGGTGTTCCACACCTTGACCTGAGGCAGGACAGGAGGGGCAGGGGCAGACCCCAACCCTGTGTGCCACGGCTTCGGCCAGGATCCCTGTCCCCATGCCGCCCCATCTAAGATGCTTGCCCCTGTACTGCCCCATCCCTGAGACCCTACCCGTGAGTAATACCCCATCCCTGAGACCCCCAACTGTGACTGACACTCCATCCGAGATCCCCGCACATGACTGAAACCCCATCCCTGAGACCCCCAACTGTGACTGATACCCCATCCCTGAGACCCCCACCTGCAACTGACACCCCATCCCTGAGACCCCCGCATGTGACGCCACATCCTGAGAGCCTTGCCCCTGTGCCCACGGCTGCCCTGGCTCACTCAGCCTCCCCAACAGGCCTGAGGCTGTGCTGAGTGGGTGGTGAGTGGGCCGTCTGCCCCAGTCTCTTCCTGTCACCTCCAGGAGGAGCCCATTTAAGGCCTAGATGGCCCGCAGGGGCACTGCACACACCAGAACCCTGTGGATGCTGGCCGGATGCCAGCTGCCAGTACCATGGACCCACCCTCGGCCACGTACTGGAGCCCCTTGGACACTGGCTGGATGCCGGCTGCCGGCACCACAGACCCTCTCCCCGCCACGCAGCCACCACCGTGCAGGAGACCAAGTCAGAAAGGGGAAAGAGGGACACCCAACCCTCTCCATTCACATTTTTGTATGTTTTTAAACGCCTACTGAGCTCATGAGCCCGGGTGAAGCTGTGAACACCAGCCCTACCGTCAAGACACGGCCCCACAGACCACTGCATCTTCACAGCCCCCCAGGCACAGAGGCCAATGGGACGGGGACAGGAGCCTACCTTGCCGTCGTCCCCGCCAGTCACGATGTACTGTCCGTCGGGCGAGTAGGCCAGGGCCACCATGCTGTTGAAGTGGCCCTGCTGCTTGAGCACGTAGGACTCACTCTGCCACTCCCACACCAGCAGCTGGCCCAGGCCTGTGCACACGGGGGAAGCTGGGGTACGCGGCTCAGGCCCACCCCAGGTCAGACTGGCCCGGCCCACCTTCCCACTTGGCACAGGACTGAGAAAGCTGCCGGGCAGGGGGTGAAACGCACAAACCCCCAAGCATAGGCTGGGACCACTGCCCGATGCTGCAGCTTCACCAGCCAGTGATGGGCCCCGCCCGTGCAACCCAGTGGTTGCAGGTCACAACTGAGGCAGGCTATGACCCCCAACCCCTGAGCAAGGGGCTTAAGACAGAGAGGTGCTTGAGGAGGGCCAGAGCAGGAAGGGCACCCCTGGGAGGCAGCTGGAAGAGAAGAAGGCACCCCCTGAAAGGTGGCTGGAGGAGGGGAGGGCACCCCATGGCAGACAGCTGGGGGAGGGGAGGGCCCCTTCTGAAAGGCGGCTGGGGGAGAGGGCACCCCATGGAAGACAACTGGGGGAGGGGAGGGCACCCCCAGTGGGTGGCTGTCAAGTAAGCCTGTAGCCGGGCAGCACTGGTCCCTAATGGGGAGTCCATCTCTACCACCCAGGCTGGGGACAAACCTGAACAGCCAAAAGCAATCCAGTCCCCCGAGCTATTGATGGCCACTGAGGCGATGCTCTGATCTGAGATGCTGCAGAGAACGGGCCTGTAAGTGGGAGGCCAGCCTGCCCGGGCTGAAGCCCCAGTGCCCACTCAGGGCAGCCCCAGACACCAGATTCTATCCCTGTGTGCAGAGCTTACCCCACCCACTCACCAGACTCAACAATTCACTTCAGTTCAAGTATCAGAGGGCTGGGTGCAGTGGCTCACGCCTGTCATCCCAGCACATTGGGAGGCGGAGGCAAGGATTGCTTGAACCCAGGAGTTCAAGACCAGGCTGGGAAAACCCAGCAAGACCCGTCTCGACAAAAAATTTAAAAACTAGCCGGGTGTAGTGGCGCACACCTGTGGCCCCAGCTCCTCAGGAGGCTGAAGTGGGAGGATCATTTGAGCCCGGGAGGCGGAGGTTGCAGTGAACCGAATTACGCCACCGCACTCCAGCCTGGGCGACAGAGCAGGACTCTGTCTCAAAGAAAAGAATCAGAGAAGGCCCAGAGGGGAGGCCAGGGTTCAACAACTTGCAACTTCACAATTTTATGAGCATAGTATTTTCGTTCTCTGTGTCTCACAGATGAAGAAAAGCGGAGACAAAAACTTGAAAGGCTGTGACTGACCCGAGACCAATGCTGCTGACTGCCAGTGGGGGCGGCAACACTGTCGCACTGACCAGCACCAGCGGCCGGGCAGGTTTCGGGCTGCCGTCCTGTGGCCTGAGCCGGCGCTCCAAGTGGCTCTGCTGCCCCCACTGCTAAGGGCAGGCTTGGCTGGGCCCTCAGATTCAGGGCCAGTGAGTGCATAAAACCACACCCCACTGCGAGCAAAGGCTTACCTCAGGGAGTGGATGAGGTTAAACTCTGGCAGCTCATGAAGATGGAAGATTCCAGAAGCAAAGCCAGTGACCAAGAGGTGAGACTTCTTATGAAATGCTGCAGCTGTCAGGTTGTTAAAATCCCCTTCTTTATTGAAGAAGTACCTGAATTGACGAGAGAGAAGAGTTGTGAGGAGGAGCGCAGAGCCAGACTGCCACCCCAGCTTGCTCTGGGCTCCAGGACACAGGCCACAGATCCAGGCAGGAGGTCCCAGACCTGCCCTCTCCCTCTCCACCCCAGGCCCTGAAGCTGCCCGCCTCCATCCCAAGCTCGGGACCCCAAAGGAACCTCACACAGCATCTCCACTGTCGCCAGCTGGCCCCACAGCAGAGCTAGTGGTGCACCCAGAGACAGCAGTGCCCATGGGAGGCAGAGGAGGTGCGGGAGGCGCGGCATGGCCGCCAGGCACACCCGAATCCCATCATCCCCTGCTGCTTCCTCCTCTAAGGAACCCTCGGTCCCCATCAGCAGACGAAGGTGACCCTGATGGCACCCCCGCCCTCAAAACCTCCCCAAGTCACGTTGTAGCTCAGCCCTGGTCCTTCCCTCTCCTTTCTGGACCCCGTCCCTCCTGAACAAGTGACAGGGAGCACTGGCTGCCAATGCAGCAGGCCCTCCCTTCACATGTTTCGCGCTGACAGCCCGCAGTCCCCGCCTAGCAGGCACACTGTCTTCCTGGAGCTGCCTGGAACCTCCCTTCCCCAGGGCGGGGTTGGGGGGCCCATCATCCCTTCCTCTTCCTCCAGTCCCCGTTCAAGTCTTGACTCCAGCACAACACCCCCAAGTCCCCGCGGGCACTGACGGGCACGGACTCACTCACGGGCACTGACCCACCCGCGGGCACTGACTCACTTGTGGGCACTGACCCACTTGGACCTGTTCTGGCCACCCTCCAACTCCGCTGCCCTTGGCAAAGCACCCTCCTCCCACTGGAGTCCAGCCGGCCCTCCCTGCTCCTCAGACCCAGGGCTCTCATGGCCACAACTCCCACCTACCCAGCAGACCCCAACCCCTCCAAAGGCAGCCCGTTCTGGCCGCCTGGCTCCCTCCACAGGCAGGGCCTTGTGTGG
Source organism: Homo sapiens (assembly GCF_000001405.40). Classification (NCBI taxonomy): domain Eukaryota; kingdom Metazoa; phylum Chordata; class Mammalia; order Primates; family Hominidae; genus Homo; species Homo sapiens. The sequence continues at coordinate 5,145,201 of NC_000021.9, forward strand.
GCGCCTTCCCCACCCAGGGACCCCAACTGCCGCCCACCTCCGCACGCAGCCACCTCATCACTGCACCTCTCCTCCCCGGCGGAGAGGAGGCCTCACAAGGGTGGGCAGTGTGTCTCAGTGCCAAGTTCAGAGCCCTGCACACAGCAGGCGCTAAGCAACTGCAGCAAGGAGGGGCCCAGGCTGGGGCACCCGGGTGACGGAGACACCATAGCTGCGGGCAACTCTGCCTTCATGTGATCCTGACCAGCCTCCCCCACAGCCCAGACGCGGGACACCCCGAATCAGGGCAGCATCTCTGCCAGGGCTCCAGGCACAGCTAAGGCCATCCCACAGGCAGTCCGTGGGGCCGGGCTCAGTCTCATCTCATCTCGTCTCGTCTGGGGGACTGAGTCCGGATGCGGGGCTGCACGGCCCAGCTCAGTGCCTGAAAAAGCACCAAGTACCACCCACCAGCGGGCCCCGAAGCAGGACTCAGACCACTCGCTGCGCCCACTCACAGCCCGGTCCCTCCCTCCACCCTTGCCAAACGCTCTCCCGGCATCTCCCTGCACGAGGCCAAGGGACTATCGCCCACACCAAACTCCACAGAAGCTGGTGGGGCCACAGACAACTCCCAACCCCCTTAGGGCCCAAGGTGCTGCTATTCCCGTCACGGAGTGCCCGCACACCTCCCTGCCCCCTATGCACCCCTACCCACCGCCCTCTGCCCTGCCCTGGGCACACAGGCAGCTCAGACAGCCGAGGCAGGGACCCTGCTTAAGGGGCAGGGTCAACACCCAAGCACTCGAGGGTGCTCAAACCGGGGCCCTGAGACGCAGGCCTGCTCTCTGTACCTCCCACTCCTCGGCCCTGGGGACCCCACATCCAGATCCCTCTGGGGGCAAGAGATTCCCACAGGAGTGCCCCGCCACAGCCCACCACACCTCAGAGACCTACTTGGCCAGCCGTGAGTACTTCACTTTTCCTGTCTTCTCCTCCTCGGCCGGAGTGGCTTTTCCCCGGATGGTGGTCTCTCTGTCGCCCTCCTGGTCCTCCTCCTCCTCCTCTTCCTCCTCCCGCTGCAACAGGTCTGCTTTCCAGCCCGCAGGGGGCTTCAGCCGCAAGCCCTCGGGGGGCGTGTCACACTGCCACATGCACAGCACTCCGTCCTGGCTGAGTGAGTACAGCTGCAAGGGGAAGCACAGGGTCACCCCAGCCCCAGCCACACTGGCCCAGCTGCCACAACCCGGCACCTCCCTCCAGCTCAGATCCAGGGACCAGTGGCACCGACGGCCCCTCTGAACTCTGAGAACAATTCTCGATGGGCCGCCACAGCTGCCATCGGTCCCTAGATGCCCCCAGGCCACACGGGAACAGCCTGGGGGAACCGCAGGAAGAGGCCGCCTGCAGCCTGGGGCCTCCCTGAACTAGCCGCTTTTGGCCACCATCAGGCTAGGGAACTTGGCAAAGGGACATACGTCCAGGCTGTTGGATTCAAAGAAGCAGGCCACGATGGCATCCTTATGTCCCCCCAGTGCATAGTAGATGAGGTTGTCCCAGCGCTCGGCTCCGAACACCCAGGTGGACATGTCTTTGCTCCCAACCACAAAGCACCTGGAAAAGAGGGAGATGGCACCTCCTCAGGGCTTGGCCATAACAAAGCAGCCAGGTGCAAGCTCCAGAGGGCTGCACGGAGACCGCTACAGCCCCACGTGGTCTCAGAGTGAGCTGAGACGCCTCCAGGCACAGGAAGACACCCCGGCACAGCCCCTGCCCTGTCTGCCTTCCTCACACCTCCCAGACGCTGTCCCTGCCCTGTCTGCCTTCCTAACTCCTCCCAGACGCTGCCCGAGCCAACCACAGCATTCCCAGTTTCTGGGACAAACAGGTGAAAGGGCAGTGCAGGGGCAGGAGGCTCGGCCACAGCACACACTTCAGAGCCGCGAAGACTCGACCACAGCCACCCAGCCAGTCCTGATGGTGTGGGCAGCGCCCAGCCCCAAAGGAGGCCGAGATGCCATTGCGGAACGAAGCTGCAGGGCCCAAGGGGGTGACCTGTCCAAGGGGCCTCTCTCAAGCCCCGCTCCCCCGAAGCCTCTGAGGCCGCACCTGGAGTCATCCGTCCAGTCGATGCAGGTGGTCTCATCGTAGGGCCCAAAATAGGTCTTGTCCAGAACGAAGGCGTTGAACTCCCGCTTCTTCCCAGGGGCATGATACATCTGGGCAATGTTACCCTTTGTGACAACAAACTTCCTATGGAAGGAACGCGGACATAGTTGATATTCAAGACCAGCAATGGCCCTAAGGCCACTGTGGAGTCTCAGCCTGCACCCACCTGGGCCTTCTGGAGTCCCGCCTCCTGCAGGATGGAGGCCAAGGAGCAGAGGAAGCAAAAGTCAGGGAAGAAACAGCCCTGGAGGGAGGGCAGCCTGGCCGCACCAAGCCTTCTCCTCCAGAAAAGGGGGTCACCAATGCCAGAGCTTGGGCCGTGTGCCCAACCCAACGTCACAACCCGGGGCCCAGGGAAACGAGCTGGGCAGTGGGCCTCACCGTCGGCATGCACGGCCGAACCCTCCTGCCCCCAAGCTGTCCCCCTTACCTGCCATCAGGGGAGAAGGACACACTGTGCACAGAGCCCTTGAAGTGGAAGTGGTGCAGCACAGACCTGCAGACCAGGCTGACCAGCAGCGCATCGCCCCCTGCAGGACGCCAGAGGTCACCACCGCACAGCTACCCCAGGGGCCACCCCAGATACATAGCACGGGAAAAACGGAGAAAGGTCTTTCTCGCGTCCACTGTGAGGAGTCAGGACTGAGAATGCCCAAGGGCCATGAGGCCCTGCCCTGCCACAGGTGATGCCACAGACACAGCCTGCGGCGGGGACGCAGCCTCGCCCATGACACCCTCATCCCCAATCCCCACCCGGGCCCCAACACGGAGGCGACTGGGGAGCGGATCATTTCAGACCCACACAGCCCTGAGTCCTCCTCACTGGTCCCCTCAGTACCCGCCCACATCAAGGGCAAGTACCTTCATCGACGATGATAGCGAGGCGGCCATCCGGGGACAGCCCCACGCACTTGACGTTGTACCGAGTGGCCAGGGGCAGCGTGTCAGATTTGTTGCTGATAAAGACAAAAACCACAGTGTGCTGTTGGTCCTCAAGTCACATGAGGGAGACAGGCCAGGCCTGGCCTGGGACCAGCGGCTCACCCTCCCCAAGTAGCGCCTCCAATCTTACTGGACCCCACAAGCCAGAGCTCATCTGTGGATACCCCCCACTCCTGAAAAAGAAATGACATTGTTGGCCGGGCACGGTGGCTCACGCCTATAATCCTAGTGCTTTGGGAGGCCAAGGCGGGCATATCATAAGGTCAGGAGTACGAGACCTGCCTGGTCAACATGGTGAAACCCCGTCTCTACTATAAAAACAAAAAACAAAAAATTGGACAGGCGCGGTGGCTCACACCTGTAATCCCGGCACTTTGAGAGGCCAAGGCGGGCAGATCACGAGGTCAGGAGATTGAGACCATCCTCACTAACACGGTGAAACCCCGTCTTTACTAAAAATACAAAAAATTAGCCGGGTGTGGTGGCGGGCGCCTGTAGTCCCGGCTATTCAGGAGGCTGAGGCAGGAGAATGGCGTAAACCCGGGAGGTGTAGCTTGCAGTGAGCCAAGGTTGCACCACTGCACTCCAGCCTGGGCGACAGGGCAAGACTCTGTCTCAAAACAAACAAACAAACAAAAAAACCCAAAAAATTAGCCAGGCGTGGTGGTGGGCGCCTGTAATACCAGCTACTCAAGAGGCTGACGCAGGAGAATCGCTTGAACCTGGGAGGCAGAGGTTGCAGTGAGCTGGGACCGCACCACTGCACTCCAGCCTAGGTGACAGAGCAAGACTCTGTCTCAAAAAAAAAAAGAAAAAGAAATGACGTTGTCCCTGGAGGAACTCTAGTGAAATGCATTAAAAGCCTTAAAAATGAGCTTTGGATACATCAATTCTGCTTCCAGGATGATATGATGAGAGGATTATTCCGCCTCAGTGTGACATCAAAATACCAGAAGCAAGCTAAGTGCCCAACAGGAATTAACCACCATGACAGTGCACCCATGTAACACTGTTGCTAGAAAAATGGAAAATAAGGGGCTACAGGAATCCCGCGGAGATGCTGCAGATAACGCTTACACTGCAACTGAGTGAGGCACACACATTCCAGCTTCCCCATACGCAGCCGAGCTGTGTTTACACCATACTGTAAACAGTACGGCGTAGTCTACTAGCGTGTGCTGTAGTCTGTAAGCGTGCACTGTGCTCTATTCGTGTGAGTTGTAGTCTGTTCGTGTGTACTGTCGTCGAAGTGTGTACTTTATTGGTGTGCGCTGCAGTCTACTCATGTGTGCTGTAGTCTATCAGTGTGCACAAGCATTCTGTCTAAAGCAACAACGTGCATCCCTTAATTTAAAAACACTTTACTGCTAAAAAATGCTAACAATCATCTGAGCCTTCAGTGAGTCTTCATCTTTTTGCTGGCAGACAGTCTGCCTCGATGTGGATGGCTGCTGACCAGGCACAGTGGCAGCTGCTGAAAACGGGGTGGCCGTTGCCAATTCCTAACACAACAGTGAAGCTTGCCGTATCGATGGACTCTTCCTTTCACAAGATGTCTCTGTAGCATGTGATACTATTTGATAGCATTTTACCCACAACAGACCTTCTTTCAAAACCGGAGTCAATCCTCACAAATGCTCCCAGCGTTTTATCAACTAAGTTGATGTCATATCCTAAATCCTTTGTTGTCATTTCAACAGTCTTTACAGCATCCTCACCAGAAGTAGATTCCATCTCAAGAAACCACTTGCTGGCCGGGCATGGTGGCTCACACCTGTAATCCCAGCACTTTGGGAGGCTGAGGCGGGTGGATCACCTGAGGTCAGGAGTTCTAGACCAGCCTGGCCAACAATGATGAAACTCCTTCTCTACTAAAAATACAAAAATTAGCTGGGCGTGGTGGTAGGCGCCTGTAATCCCAGCTACTTGGTAGGGTGGCCCGAGGCAGGAGAATTGCTTGAACCCAGGAGGTGGAGGTTGCAGTGAGCCAAGATCATGCCATAGCACTCCAGCCTGGGGGACAAGAGTGAGACATTGTCTCAAAAAAAAGAAAAGAAACCACTTGCTTTGCTCATCCACAAGCAGCAGCTCCTCATTCATTCAAGATTGATGGCAACATTGCGGCAATTCAGTCCCATTTCAGGCTCTGCTTTCATTTCGAATCCTCTTGCTATCTTTACTGCATCTGCAGTAACTTCTTCCACCAAAGTCTCGAACCCTTCAAAGTCATCCATGAGGCTTGATACTAAACTTCTGTCAGACTCCTGTTAATGTCGACACTTTGCCCTCATTGAATGAATCATGAAATGACAACTAGAATGGCGACTCCTTCCCAGAAAGCTTTTTATTGGCTTTTCCCAGATCCATTACAGGAATCACTATCTTTGGCAGCTAGAGCCTTATAAAATATATTTCTTAAATGGTAAGACTTGAAAGTTAAAGTTACTCCCGTAGGCTGAAGAAGAGATGTGGTGTTAGCAGGCATGAAGACAGCATCTCCTTATGCGTCTCCTTTGGAGCTCATGGGTGACCAGGTACGTTGTCCAACAGCAGAAATATTTTGAAAGGAACCTTAGTGGGTTCAACAATGGGCTGGAAAGATTCAGGAAACCATGCTGTAAACAGATGTGCTGTCGTCCAGACTTTGCTGTTCCACTTATAGAGCACAGGCAGAGTAGCTTGGGCATCATTGTGAAGGGCATTAGGATTTTCAGAACAGTGAATTAGCACTGGCTTCAACTTAATGGCCCCAGCTGCATTAGCCCCTAATAAGAGAGTCAGCCTGTTGCTTGAAGCCAGACACTGACTTTTCTCTAGCTATGTAAGTCCTCGATGGCATCTTTTTCTTTTTTTTTAATTTATTTATTTTTAGATAGAGTCTTGCTCTGTTGCCCAGGCTGGAGTGTACTGGCACGATCTCAGCTCACTGCAACCTCTGCTTCCCAGGTTCCAGCAATTCTTCCACCTCAGCCTCCTGAGTAGCTGGCATTACAGGAATGTGCCACCATGCCTGGCTAATTTTTGTACTTTTAGTAGAGACGGGGTTTCACCATATTGGCCAGGCTGGTCTCAAGCTCCTGGCCTCAAATGATCTGCCTACCTTGGCTTCCCAAAGTGTTGGGATTACAGGCATGAGCCACTGCGCCTGGCCATCTTTTTCCAATAGAAGGCTGTTTTGTCTCCATTGAAATTTTGTGTTTAGTGTAGTCAGCTTCATCAATGATCTCAGCTAGATCTTCTGGATAACTTCCTGCAGCTTCTCCATAGCACTTGCTGCTTCGCTTTGCACTTTTATGTTGTAGAGATGGCTTCTTTCCTTAAACTTCATGAACCAACCTCTGCTAGCTTCCAACTTCTTTCCTGCAGCTTCCTCACCTCAGCCCTCACAGAACAGAGGACAGGTAGGGCCTTGCTGTGCATTAGGCTTTGACTTGCTTAAAGGAATGTTGTGGCTGGTTTGATCTTCTATCTGGATCACTCAAACTTTTATCCGTATCTGCAATAAGGCTATTTTGGCTTTCTTGTAATTTGTGTGTTCACTGGAGTAGCATTTTTAATTTCCTTCAAAAGCTTTTTCTTTGCATTCACAACTTGCCTGTTTGGTGGCAGAGACCTGGCTTTTGGCCTATTTCAGCTTTTGACATGCCTTCCTCACTAAGCTGAGTCCCTTCTAGCTTCTGATTTCAGGTGAGAGTTGTGTGACTCTTCCTTTCACATGAACACGTAGTGGCCACTGTAGGCCATTATTAACTGGCCTAATTTCAGCATTGTTTGTGTCAGGGAATAGGGAGACCCAAGTAGAGGAAGAGAGACGTGGGGGGGTGGGGAACAGCCGGTCGGTGGAGCAGGCACAGCACACACAGTGCTTACCGATTAAGCTCGCTGTCTTACATGGGCACGGATCACGGCACCCCAGAACAATCACGATAGCAACAGCAAAGATGATCACAAATCACCCTCACAGGTATAATAAACTTTGAAATATCACAAAATTACCAAAATGTGACACAGAGACATGAAGTGAGCCCCCACTGCTGGAAAAATGGCACCGACCAACTTTCTCCAAGCAGTGTTTCCACACACCTTCGCTTCGTGGTAAAACAGCATCCGCACAGAGCCAGAGTGCAACAAAGTGAAGCAAAGTGCAACAGCACACAGGAAGAAACCGCTAAACCCCAGCGAATAAAACTGACCTCCGGCTGCAGAGCTGGAAGCTTTGGGCCTGCCCGTCCGACTGGTGAGGCCCAGTGGCAGCAGGGCTCCCGAGCAGGGGTCCAAGGTACCTTCAACTCCCCCAGCAGCCCTGGCCTTTCAGCCCTTAGGGGCCTTCCCTGATGGGGGAAGGGCTAACCCTGAGCTACACCTTTTCCCCCACCCACCCTTCACAGCACAGGGACAGGGTCCCTTCCCACAGAACGGAGCCAAGTGACACACCACTTTATGGGGCCTGGCTAAGGCACTACAACGAAGAACTGGGTCTGGCTGCCAATTTCCACAACTGATCTGCTGACCCTAGTCTGTCCTGTAGTCCTCTCCTGGGCTCCCTTAATTAACGGGTGCACCATTAAAAGGAAGGCACAGAAGACACTATCAGTTTTCATATGTTACTTAAAAAATGGTGATAATAGTAATCAGTATCACTATTATGAATACCACTTTCACATACTTACTTTTTAAGGTCAAATACAGTGACTCTATTGCCCACGGGACTGATAACTGAATTTCCATTGCAGGTAAAATTTAGGTTCCCACGCCGGTACACCGTACCCAGCAAATTTGAAAACTGTGAAGAAAACAAAATTGTCTTAACACAAAGAAAACAGTCGACTCCCAGAAAAGCACTAAGTGAGGCATCTGGGCAGAGAGATGGCATAGAGAACCCCACCTTGGGGGCCCGTTCACCTTTCCTGGGTAAGAGAGGAAGAAGTGAGCCTGATCCTCAGGAGACCAGAGGAGCCCGGGCGGCCCCAAGCTCCCACAGAGATGGGTAAGATGCCCCTGTGAGCACTGAGGAAGCCTCCCAAGACAGGAGGCGTCTGCCAGGTGAAGAGGGGCATGGAGCCCACACTTCACCAAGAAAAAAGCTGCAACAATGGAACAGCACCCCAAAAGTGCTTAGAACTCAGGGCTTCCAGAAGTGTGGTAAGCCAGCATCCTATTTACTAACTCACGAGCACGAGCGTTCACTGGAGACTGCCATGCGCACAGACACGCACACCTTATATTCTCTCTCTAGCAGGAGGGGGATGAGAAGTGTGGGAGCAGGGGCTACTTTAGACGGTGGTCACGGAGAGGCACCTGGAAGGGTCACCTGAGCTGGAATCTAAATGGGAAGGCACCAGCCAGGCCCTGAAGCTGTGAGTGGGCAGCGCCCTCAGGACCTCAGGGAGGAGCTTGGTCAGCAGAAGGACTTTAAGCGGCCAGGCAGGCTCCAAGGCACATTTTTTGCCACCTTGCAGTAGGAATGTGGAGCGGATGAAGTCCTGGCCTGTGAGGACGTGGATATGGTTTCTGGTTTGGTGCTGGGCACACAGCGGTGGCTCCACCAGCACAGGGGACACAGGAGCAGCACTCTGAGGGGCCAGTACCATGCCCAGTTTCGGACAGGACAAGTGTAGTACACGGTGGGCTCAGCAGCAGGCGGCCCGTGCAACCCTGGAAGCGCAACGGTCAGGGCCACTGTGGGAAACACAGGCGTCCCCATAACCGGCCAGCTGTAGCAAACGCTTCAGAGACCCCCAGGCCGGCTCCGCGGCCCCCTCTTATTACCTGTCTCACCCGCCTCCTGCACTTCACATCTGGGACAAGTCTTCCCTGGCTCTCAAAGCTGAGGGCGTCCGCCTCAGGAATTCCCTCCGGCCTCGGGAAACAGAGCTCACACCTGGGTTCCCCGCCCTTCCGCTCACCTGGACGCTCGCTCGTTAGGGACCAGTCCCGGGCCCCGGGTCCCTGCTGTTCTCACCCCGCCTGCGCGCGCCCGCGTCCCCGCCCCGTCCCACCTCCTCATCCCTCCCGAGGGTGCTGTGCCCTCCCCGACTGCACCAACTCCAGCCTTTAGGTTGGGCCATACTCAGGTTAAAAATATCCCGGGACCCCGACAAATGTCCCTGTTCCCTCCGAGAAGCCGTCGGCGCCTCCGTCCCAGCTCTCCCAGGAGCCCCACCACAGCCCCGCGTCCCCGAGGCCATGGGCGCGCAGACAGCCGGCGACCCCCACGCGGCCAGACGCCGCAAAAGCAGACCACGCGCCCCCAGCCCGCCCGGAGCCAGCTCAGGCGCCGTCCACCGGAAGAGCCGCGCCGATCCAACAGACCGCCCGCCGCCCGCGCTCACCCGGTAAGCGAACTTCATCACGGCTGTCGCACGTGTGCCGCAGCTCAACCCGGCGGCCGCCCACAGAGACACTTCCCGGGGGTCCGCGCGGCACCGCCCACAGCACGCACTTCCGGGAAGCGACGGCGTGCACCGCCCACAGCGCGCGCGCCCGGGACGGGGTCGCGCACCACCGTCCGCAGCGGCCCAGGAGGCAGGAGCTGCGTCGCCCTCGCCCCGCCCCGAGGCGGAGTTTGAACGCGAGGCCCAACCCCTCCCAAGGCGGGGCCTTCTCCGGGCCCCGCCCACACCCCGGAGCCACACTGCAGGGCGCCTCTTAGGCGCGCTCCAGCGCTGGGCGCGCTCCGCACGGACGCCCAGCCTGGCACAGCAGCGTCCACAACATGAGAGCGCTGCACACCCAAATGTCTTCGTTCTTGTGAACTGTTGGGTAAGGAATTATGAATAAAGTCCCGAATGCTGGCCGGTGCGGTGGCTCACGCCTGGGAGACTGAGGCGGGTGGATGACCTGAGGTCAGCAGTTCGAGACTAGCCTGGCCAACATGGTGAAACATCATCTCTACTAAAGTATAAAAATGAGGCGCATGCCTGTAGTCCCAGCTACTCGGGAGGCTGAGGCAGGAGAATGGCTTGAACCTGGGAGGCGGAGGCTGCAGTGAGCCCAGATCGCGCCATTGCACTCCAGCCTAGGCAACAGAGCATGACTGTCTCAGAGAAAAAAAAAAAAAAAAAAAAAAAAAATCCGAATGTTTCCCAAAAGGCAAATAATCTATGCCCAAGAGTCAGGAACAAGGACTAGGGAGATAAAACAATAAAATCTTCACATTACATACTGTTGTCACACCATGTCGCAGCAAAAGATCCAGTGCAAAATAGTTTCTTCTTAAAATGTGTATTTTCAGAATTACAATGCTTACATTTTAAAGTCTTAATACAATGGTTTTAATCTAACAATATATTACATAATATGAAAAATGACTTTTCATAGTAAACCATGAAAATGGAATACCTGCAGTGTCAAAGTCACCAACTTGTCACCTTTTCCAGTCACAGAATCCCAACACATTGTATTAATGATGACTGGGGGGGGTCTTACAGCCTGATGTATATAGGATGAATAAATGTAGAGAAAGGAGCATTTTCATGAAAAATAAAATTTAAAAACCAGGTAGGATTTATTTTAAAGAACACAGTTGAAAGTAAAACATTTACATCAGCCCAGTTTGCCCTTTTATAAAAAGTAGTATAGCTTTTCATTTTATATACAAACCTGCAGTGTCTGATTTCATTTTAAAACTTAATTTTAAGCACTAAAGAAAATTTGAATAGAAGCCTGTGTGTATTTTCTCTGCTAATTCTGTATGGGATATCTGGCATCTCCACTAAGAGTAATTAATACAGGAATCTGACCCTCCTAGGCTGTGCTGACAATGGAACTGTTGTAGGTAAAGTCATTTTCAGATTAAATACAACAATTTCCACATTAGAATCAGAAGAGTTATAATTTTTCCAATCATAGGACATCCCATGAAATTCACAAAAATTATAACTTATTTTATTTTCCATTTGACAGTATTTACATGTTCCACAGATATTTGTAAAACGGCTGCAAATTCCTTGCTTTTTAGATACACATTGCATATCTGGCTTCACAATTATTTAACATCTCTTTATCAACAAAACCAGCTTGTCTCAAACACATACACCTTACTTTAGATAAAAACAATAAACATCCAATTACAGTTACTCTTTTAGGACTTTTATGATGAACATTAAGAAAAAAATGACAATTTTGGGTGACATTCTTCTTTGTCTTAAAGAGGCAGAAGCATTCATGTAACATAGTTTGCAAAAGATCTTTTGGGTAATTAGGGGGAAAAAAACTGATAAATTTGATTTCATTTCATTTCCAGGCAATTAAGCGCCGTAAACATTTTAAATTTCCCCTTCACTTTCTTCCTCTAAATATATATGTAGTTGGATAATTTCATCCTGGGAGTAGAACCAGATACAAGAAAATCAAACAGTAATAAATGAAACATTCCCTCTTCCAGAAGGTAAGAGAGAAAGCTACATTACACTGGGGAAGGCTCCCAGGCTGACGACACGGATTACAGTCTCTTCTGACGGAATCAAATCTCCCATCTCTTTATTCACAGGACTTGGTAGAAATGCAGGGCAATCGTCAATTTTTACAATAAAAAACCTTATTTTAGAAACCCTAAACTATCATTAGATTCTGAAGTTCTAATTTGCTAACTAGTTTGACCAAGTTTGTTAAACTGCACATGAGGAAGATAAATTTCTGGAAAGTTTAATTACACAATTATTTATCTTCTTTACACGTCTCCAGTTTCTACAAATGAAAAAGACAGGAGGAAAAAAAAATCACACCACCTTTATTTATTGAATGAGCTAAAAGACAACACAGAGAATACTGGAAATGACGGCTGTCATATTTCCCCGGTCTGTGCCTCCTTCCTCCCATGCCCCACCGCCTCCCGCAAGCACAGTGCTGGGCAGGAACCCGGTGCTCCTTCTCTCCACAACTTGCACATCCACGGGGATTCACACGAGGGCCACCCACTGCTGGACCCGACTCTATCTGCTTGAGCTAATCTTGTCAAGTTCAATTCCAAGCACATTTGCCCAGTAAATTAAGAGTACTCTATTTCAAGTGTACAAAAATACATCGCTTTGGAGAACTGGAAAAGGTTTAATACATACAACACTTATTTACAAGCTGTGACTTTCACACCTGTAAAAACAAACACACTTATTTTTGTCCTTGATTTTTGGTGCAACTTATACATAAACATTACATCAGTTAGTCTGTATTTTTAAAAATAATAAATCAACCATATGTACAATTAAATTTACAACCGAAAGCAAATAATCCATTGGAACAGTGTGACTGCAACTCAGTAGACCAGTGGAGGACATTCCAGGACTTGAGTCCTTCCCTACAACCAGACCAAAAACACACTGAGGACCTCTCTCATCCTCACGATGGAATATCTTAATTTCTAAGACTTAAGATGCAAAAGAAAAATAACGATTATACAGCTACAATTACATGTAAAGACTTTAAAGGGACAGAAAAACAACATATTAACCCCCACATATATAATGATCATTAAATTAAATATATTTAACTCCCAGTGCATATGATATTCTATCAACATTATGGGGGACCACAGGGTTCCAGAAACATTTATCCCTAAACCACCTCACCGCTGAGGCGCTCCTCACAGCCGGGTCTCAGCTTTCTTCAGTACCTTTCACGTGGCTCCGGCTGATGGGCCTCCAGGTCCCCCAGCTCCGGCATCCCAAGGCACAGAAGGGGTTATGATCCCTCCCTCCCCCACCCGCCTCCCCTAGAAGGGTGTTATTCTAGAAAAGCACAATGAGAGGATCTGCGGTAAACGGCTGTTTTACCCCTTAGGGGACACAAATCCACCCCGATCAGGAAACTGGGCAGCTGTGTGACCAGAAAGGCACACACGTCACTAAGACCGTGAGGGCTGCTGAGTGTCTACCTGAAAGACAAATGGCCTTCCACGAAGAGCCAGCAGACGGAGGCTGTTCCGTGGAGACAGCGTGGGTGGAAACTTTCATGAGCAGCGTGTGAGGTAGGGGGAGGGAGGCCAGGGCTCTGAGTAAGCGGCGTCGGACACCAGCATGGGGACGGGGTGAGAAAAGCAGGAATCTGAGATCACAGGCGGCATGAAAACAACAACAGAACTCAGCTGGCCAGCTGCGTGATGACACTCTCTGATGTCCCCACGGCCAGGCAGGACCACTGAAGGTCTGGCTGGAGCCAGAACGGAAGAGTCCAGTCACAGTCCCATAAAGTGCACTCCTAGCTGGGAAGTGGCGTGTGTTCACCCTGGCGTTGTCATGTTACACTGACTTCCAGGACGTGGTCATCTTGGCTGGGGATGACCAGGACTTGTGTGCCCGAGCTGGAGTTGAAGACCTGGCCGGCCGGCAGTGCCTGCAGCCGGGGCATGGGTAGGCCTTTGTGCTCGCTGCTGCAGGCCGAATGCACGCTGCCCCTGCTCTTGAGGCTGCTGCTGTCCGGCTGGTCGTCCCCGTGCTTGTCTACTGACAGGCTGTCGTTTTCTATCCAGCTGTCTGCAAAACACACAGGAAGTTAGACCCAAGCTGCGCCGACACTCACCTGGGGACGGGCAAAGCCACACGGAGCCAGGCTGAACGTGCAGAATGCCACCCGAGGCTGCCCCTTTACAGAGCACTCTGTGCACAGAGGCTTGGCTTTCAGAGCAGGTGCCTAAGATTCTAACAGCGGATGAGGCTTCTAGTACCAGTTTCTACCGGCACTGAAAACACGCCGCTAGTTCTCCAACCTGCTCAGTCATAAGTTTATCACCTCTCGCACAAAGTGCTCACCTGCTCAAATACTGAAGGTAAACTTTTTCTTCCAAAGTCCTTACCAGCGTCCAGTTGGGAGGAGTGTGCAGAATGATGGGGGAGGTACTTGAACAGCCTGACGTCGGGCAGGGGGAGATACCCGGCGAAGAGCGGCATCACTTCCATGTGGACCCTGTGAGTGGCCCGAGCAGCCACTGGCATGGAGATGACACCGCAGCTTTTCCCACACACTGCCCAGTTGCTACTGTTGTCGACAACTGAAACGAGAGGAAGCGATGTGTCATCCAGGACGGGCCTTCCAGTACTCAGGCGAGAGTCACGGCCGTCGTTACCCAATCCTCTCACCCAACGCTGTCTGACAAAACACTGCGGACACAGAGCCCAGTGCCTTGTAGCTGCGCCTGAAGATAAAGCCATGCACTTTCACGGTGGCAACCCCTATTTCATTGAGTCCAATTTCAATTAGTTCTGGATTAGAATGAATTATGCTGGACGTGTACAGAAAACTGCATTTTTCCTGTGAGGTTAATAAATGATTTAATTTTGTTTTCAAATTTTTGTGTCATCTTCCACAGTATGGTGACTTTGGCAGTTAATGGGTTCTGTCTGGTAAGTGGCAGTATCCAAGACCACTGGGTCTGAAGCCAACTCTGCCACTCAGAAGAGCACCCCAAGGCCTCCAGGCTCAATGACCGCTGTATAGTGCTGAGACCACCACCAGCCTCACAGAGCTGCTTTTTAAGGATGGAAAGAGAATACGTATGAGGGAACTACAAAAAGTTCATGCAAAAATGGAATCCAAAGATGAAAACAGAAAATATAAGCTTTATTTCTCAACATAAGCCCCACCAAGGTCAAGACATGTTTGTAAGCAATGATGCCATTGCTTACGATGCCATTTAGTCCATCCCTGAAGAACTGGGAGGCCTGAGAATTTAGCCATGTCAACGCAGTCTTTCTCTACATTATTAGCTGAATAAAAATGGGTGCCTTTTAAAGACTTCTTAAGATCAGGAAACCAAAATCAGTCAGAAGGAGCCGAATCAGGTCCACAAGGTGGATGCCTCATGATTTCCCATAGAAACCCTCACGAAGTTGGGCTTGTTAGAGGAATGAGCAGGAGCTTTGTCGTGGTGGAGGAGGACTCTCTGGTGAAGCTTCCCCAGGGGTTTTTCTACCAAAGCTCTTGCTATCTTCCTCAAAACAATCTCATAATACACAGACGCTGCTGTCCTTTGACTCTCCAGAAAGTCAACAAGCAAAATGCCTTGAGTATCCCAAAAACCTGTTGCTGTGGCCTCTGCTCTTGACCAGTCTGCTTCTGCTTTGGTGGGGCCACCCCACCTCTTGGTAGCCATTGCCGTGTCTGCTTTGTCTTCAGGATGGTACTGGGAAGGCCACACTGCATCTCCTGTTATGGTTCTTTGAGTAAATGCTTCAGGATCTTGATCCCGTGTGTTTGAAGTTTCCATGGGAAGCTCTGCTCTGGTCGGCCACGGACCTGGGTACTAGGGTTTTGGCACCCACTGAGTGGAACGCTTGCTCACCCTTCAGGCGTAATTGCATAAGCTGAACCAGTTCAGATGTCTGCGGTGTTGGCTGTCATTTCTGCTGTTGTCAGTTCCCTCCAATTAGGGCATGAACAAGGTGAATTTTTTCCTTGAAAATGGATGTGGATGGTCTGCTTGCTGTGGCCTTAATCTTCAGCATCATCTCGTCCCTTCTTAAAACAAGATATCCATTTGCAAACTACTAATTCTTTGGGGCACTGTCCAAAGAATTTCATAAACTTTTCATAAAGCATCAATGATTTCACCATTCTTCCACCCAAGCTTCACCATAAATTTGATGTTGGTTGTTTTGTTGTTGTTGTTGTTGTTGAGGCGGAGTTTCGCTCGTTGCCCAGGCTGGAGTGCAGTGGCGCAATTTTGGCTCACTGCAACCTCCGCCTCCTGGGTTCAGGCAATTCTCCTGCCTCAGCCTCCCAAGTAGCTGGGCTTATAGGCGCCTGCCACCACGCCCAGCTAATTTTTGTATTCTTAGTAGAGACGGGGTTTCGCCATATTAGCCAGGCTGATCTTGAACTCCTGACCTCAGGTGATCCGCCTGCCTCAGCCCCCCAAAGTGCTGGGATTACAGGCGTGAGCCACTGCACCCGGCCAATGTTGGTTCTTGATTTAATTTTAGCAGAATTCATGTTGCTCTGATAGGGGCTCTTTTAAAACTGATGTCTTATCCTTCTTAGTGCCTCAAACTAGATCCTGCTCAGTGAGTAGGAGCTTATTTTGGTGCAAAAAGTGTTGAAATCCATGCATAGTTTTTTCATAACGTATCTTCCATGATTTTTTTGAAGACCCCTTGTATGTAAAGCACTTAGTACCACTCCTGGGACATGGTAGTGTCTTAATATATGGCAGGTGTTATTATTAACATTAATTATTAAAACACAACCATCATGTAATTCAATGCAATTCAAACACTTAAGTGATCATTCACTGGGACTAGCCCTGGAGATATGAAAGTAAGCAAGACAGGATCCTTGCCATCCAGTAGCAGTAGACCTGGTAAAGAGGTCACAGCTTCCCATCATGAGGATACCGAGCAACCGCCCAGGGGGAGTGAGTGACCAGAAGGCCACGAGCAGCAGAGAAGGGCTCAGGGAGGTGGACATCCTGTAGTTGGGGATGGGGGACCTTTGAGGACAGGAGCTACTACAGGACATGCAGAGGCCCTAGGAGTGTCAGGAGGAAGGCAAAGGAGTGACAGTTCTCAGAGTGTGGCTCTCAGGGCACCCGCAAGCTCATAGCTTTCACACTGCTGCCTTTCTACGCTGCTGACCTCGCGCTGCTGGGGCAACCACAATGGCATGAACTCGGGCCAGACTGCGCAGTCATGTCACTCATGTTCTTTACTACCATGAACTCACAGCAAAAAAACAAAAAAAAAAATGCCACGCTTCACAAAGCAGTCAAAAGTGCTCATTTTATTAAATTCAGCTCCTGAGTAGACTTTTTTTTAATTGTGAAATGTTTATAGACTCACAAGAAGTTGTAAAAGTAGTAGAGGGGTCACATACCTTCATCACCAGCTTCACCCAACTGTGCCATCTCGTGTAACACAGGAAGCTGACACTGGTACCATACAGTGACCCAGGCTGCAGACCCCACTGGATTTCACTACAGAGTGAACCAGGCTGCAGACCCCACTGGATTTCAATACAGATAGAACCAGGCTGCAGACCCCACTGGATTTCACTACAGAGTGGACCAGGCTGCAGACCCCACTGGATTTCAATACAGCTAGAACCAGGCTGCAGACCCCACTGGATTTCACTACAGAGTGGACCAGGCTGCAGACCCCACTGGATTTCAATACAGATAGAACCAGGCTGCAGACCACACTGGATTTCACTACAGAGTGGACCAGGCTGCAGACCCCACTGGATTTCAATACAGATAGAACCAGGCTGCAGACCCCACTGGATTTCACTACAGAGTGAACCAGGCTGCAGACCCCACTGGATTTCAGCAGCTTTCGCAGGCATTCTTTGGGTCTAATTCTATGGCATTTGTCACATGTGTAGATTCGTGTAACAACCACAGCGGCCCTGGCCCAGAACTCTCCATTACCACAGAGGACGGCCTCCTGCTGCCTCCCACTGCTCCGTGGAACACTGACCCGCTCTCCTTCTGAGGCTGGCATTTTGAGGATGTCATTTAGAAATGGAATCACACAGTACACCTCCTTATAGGACTGGCGTTTTTCTCTTAGTATAATGCCCTTGAGATCCAACCACAGCACTGCGTGTGTCAACAGTCCCTTCTGTTTCACTGCTGAGGAGGAATCAGATGTGCCAGTTTAACCGCTCTCGAGCTGAAGGACGTTTGAGTTATTTCCATTCTTGAGTGCTTGTGTTCTTGACATTCTCTGGGTCTCTGCTGCAGAATGACAGCTGGCTCAGGGAAAGCACACGGGGAGCGCTCGGTGCTGCGAGCTGAAATAGCCGCTGTTTTCACAGAACGCCCTTTTCACTTGCAAGAGCGCTGGGGAAGCTAGTTATTCAGTGTTGGGTATTTGGTAGACGTCTGATTAAAAATGAATGATGTAAGCCTGTCACTTCAAAGAAAACAACACGACTATTTGCTGCCAATGATGCCATCTGAGACTTTAAGCAAAAATCAGAATTTTGGAAAACTTACACTTGCCACTGTGAGCTTGAAAGAGTTCTGATGCTCCAAGCCCTCCCTGAGAGATCACAAATGCAGATTTTAAAAAAATATTGTCAAACGAAAGGTGCCCACATTTGGAAGATCTGCACAACTCAGGAAACCATGTTTCCCACATGACTAATGGCACAGGGTGTAACGCTATGATGCCTGGGTAAAAGAGCCATTCAAAATGCAAGATAGGCTGAGTGCAGTGCCTCACACCTGTAATCCCAACACTCTGGGAGGCCAAGGCGGGAGGACTGCTTGAGCCCATGGGTTCGAGACCACCTACCTTCATACATAAGCTTTGTCGAAAAATGCTCATCAGATTCAGTCAGTGCTTCATCTTTATCCACCTCCAAGAGGTCTGAGAGCCTCGTGATCAAAACCTCCAGGGAGCAGAGGGAGCCTGTTCTGCAATACTCCATTCCCGAAGGGGGAAAGATCTCAGCCTTCACGTTGTATAATGTCTGGGCAGGAAAGGGAGAGAATAGAAAGGAAATGTACCTAAGTGGCCTCAAGAAATGCAACTAGAGGAAAAAGCAGAGCTGCCCACAGACCCTGGAGAGCTGAGGATAGACACCTATCTGCTCGGCTGGCCTTAGAGCAACTGTCGCCACTCACTCTCAATAATTCCCACTGGAGATGCAATGTTTTCGGAAGTCCTACACTCCGAACCTTAACATCCTTCTTTAAATTATGAACATTTTCAACCACAGGAAGAAAGGATAGCACAGAGCCCTTCCAGCCGCCTATCACCCAGATCCTGAGATCTCAGCATCTTGCTGCCTCAGCATCCTCTTATCAAGCCATGGACATTTCTGTATTTGCCTGAGGTAATTTAAAGCGAATTTCAGGCCAGGCATGGTGGCTCACGCCTGTAATCCCAGCACTTTGGGAGGCCGAGGTGGGCAGATCACTTGAGGTCAGGAGTTCGAGACCAGCCTGGGCAACATGGTGAAACCCCGTCTCTACTAAAAATACAAAAATTAGCCGGGTACAGTGGCAGGTGCCTGTAATCCCAGCTACTTGGATTACTTAGCAGGAGATTCCCTTGAACCCAAGAGGCAAAGGTTGCAGTGAGCTGAGATCGCACCACTGCACTGTAGCCTGGGTGACAGAGCAAGACTCTTGTCTAAAAAAATAAAATAAAATAAAAAAATAAAGCAAATTTCAGACAACCTGTTATTTTGCCCCATCTGCTTCAGTATGCATTACTAAACACTAAGGCCTTTTTCTTACCAAAACACAATGCTATTATTACAACTAGCAAAAGCAACAGGAATTCCTTGGTATAACCCAATTCAGTCCATAATCTACTTTGTCCGTGTTTTCTTTCCATAATCAACCTATTCTCGGTGGCTATTCAAACATGCTTAACATTCTACCACCACCCATGACAAACGATCAAAACACATCTGCCACTGCCAAGATGAAAAAGGGCTCATGCACTACAACCTGGCAGTTCCACTTCTGAGGGGAAGCGTTGTGTGTGCGCGCGAGCGTGTGTAATACAGTATAGCTTGACTTAAAAAGTGTTCTATTGGCATTGTAAAATGTTCAAAGAAGAGATTTCAGTATATTAAGAAGCATTTGTCTGGAGTCTGAGGCCAAGATGAAGCCGTTTTATGGGAGTTCACAGCCTAAACAGCAGTCCCAAGAGCGGCCTTTCTAGGTGATCTCCTACCAAATGCCCAATTACCTCTGTTCGGACATGGGACAAACTCCCACCAGTCTCAAGAGGGGCCATGCTGGGACTTCCTGGGGCTCTCAAGCCACAGGGCAGAAAAGATCCCAAATACACAGATGCAAAAGTGCCAGCCGTGGGCCCGGGTGCCCGTAGGTCCTGGGAACTGAAGCAGTAGAACACTGTGCTAGAGGCCCACTGAAATACCTCCTCCTCAGAAGCTTCTGGCTGGGGCACAGTCTGAATGTTTCTGAATCCAGCAAAGAATGCAGATTTGCCTCAGGGCTTGAAGGACACCCAGAGTTGCAGTAGGACACAGTGGGGTGTGATGAGACCTGCGTGTGCCTGAACGCTGCTCTGGGCTGCATCTGGGAAGGAGAGTGGCTGGGGGAAAGCACAGCCCAAGGCGAGCAGCAGGGGCCTCACCTGGCGGCACCTGGAGCTCAGGCACAGGGACCAGAACCGCAGAGCCTCTTCAGAGAGACACGCGAGCACTGACGGCCAGCTGGAATCTGGCAAGGGGGCCAGGGCCACCCTGCAGGGAGGAAAGCATCGTCATGACAGATGGGATAGGGACACCTGCTGGGTCATTTGAAAAGAACAAATTTGGACCCTACCTCTCACCATACACAGAAATTAAGTCAAAGTAGATCACAGACCTAAATGCAAGTGCTCAAATTACGAACATCTTGGAAGGAAATGCAAGAGAAAATCTTTTTGACCAAAGGCAATGATTTTCTAGGTCCAAAGCAAAAAATTTAAGCAATAAAAGAGAGAGTTGAATTGGATTTCATCAAAATTTAACTTTGGTGCTTCAAAAGACAACAAATGGAAGAAAATACTTGCAAATCATATATAAGGACCTGGTACCTAGGATATATAAAGAACTTACAATTCAATAATAAAAAACAAATAACCCTATTTAAACATGGGGAAAGGATCTGAACAGACATCCTTCCAAAGAAGGCAGAAAAATGGGCCACACGCCCACGAGCCGCAGCACATCACCAGCCACTGGGGAAACGCCTGCCAATTGGGACAGCCACAACCAAAAACACAGTGAGACAAGTGCTGGCAGGACACACAGAAGCTGGGACTCTCTGGGTCCCAGCTGGAATCCACTATGTTGCTGGTGGGAATGTAGAGCCCTCTGGAAAAAGTTGGCAGTTGCTCAAAAAGCTAACCACAGAGTTACCCTATGACCCAGAAATTCCACTCAGGTCTTTACCAGGAGAATTGAATAGATACAGCAACATACAAACCCGTACTTTGGGCCAGGCACGGCGGCTCATGCTTGTTATCCCAGCACTCTGGGAGGCCAAGCGGGGTGGATC